>NC_000006.12:12484242-12635757 GCF_000001405.40 Homo sapiens | reverse complement strand
CTAAAATTAAAAACCTATTTGTTGTTTCTTCAAATTTAACTACGTACCTTGTATTTTTATTTATCAAATTTGGCAATCACGTGTAGCAGTGAAGAACATGCTGACTATTGGTTTTGTCTGCCATGATTAATGAAAAGAGAAATGGCTCCACAGTCCCAAGGAGACATGGAGTCAATTCTACTGTCCAGCATCCACAGTCTCATGTGAAAATGACAGGTGCAATATTCACCACAGAGAATATTTATAGCTCTGCCTTCTTCCCCACTGCCCAGTATTCAGAGATGCTCAAATAACAATGTAAATTTATCTCAAGAAAAATACTCTCTCACTCCTCCCTAACTCATTTTATGAAACCAGCATCATCCTGATACCAAAACTGGGAAGAGACACAACAAAAGAAGAAAACTTCAGGCCAATATCCCTGATGAACATTGATGTGAAAATCCTCAATAGAATACTGGCAAACCGAATCTAGCAGCATATCAATAAACTTATCCACCACGATCAAGTTGGCTTTATCCCTGGGATACAAGGCTGGTTCAATATACACAGATCAATAAATGTAATCCATCACAGAAAGAGAACCAAAGGCAAAAACCACATGATTATCTCAATAGATACATAAAAAGACTTTGATAAAATTCAACATCCCTTCATGTTAAAAACTCTCAATAAACTAGGTATTGATGGATCATATCACAAAATATAAAGAGCTATTTATGTCAAACCCACAGCCAATATCATATTGAATGGGCAAAAGCTGGAAGCATTTCCTTTGAAAACCCATACAAGACAAGGGTGCCCTCTCTCACCACTCCTATTCAACATAGTATTGGAAGTTCTGCCCAGGGCAATCAGGCAAGAGAAAGAAATAAAGGGTATTCAAACAGGAAGAGAGGAAGTCAAGTTGTCTGCAGATGACAGGATTTTATATTTAGAAAACCCCATCATCTAAGCCTCAAAACTCCATAAGCTGATAAGCAACTTCAGCGAAGTCTCAGGATACAAAATCTATGTGCAAAAATCACAAGCATTCCTTTATACCAACAATAGACAAGCAGAAAGCCATATCATGAATGAACTCCCATTCACAATCGTTACAAAGAGAATAAAATACCTAGGAATACAGCTAACAAGGAGTGTGAAGGACCTCATCAAGGAGAACTACAAACCACTGCTCAAGGAAATAAGAGAGGATGCAAACAAAAGGAAAAACATTCCATGCTCATGGATAGGAAGAATCAATATTGTGAAAATGGCCATACTGCCCAAAGAAATTTATAGATTCAGTGCTATTCCCATCAAACTACCATTGACATTCTTCACAGAATTAGAAAAATCTATTTTAAATTTCACATGGAATCAACAAAGACCCTGCATAGCCAAGACAATCCTAAGCAAAAAGATCAAAGCCAGAGGCATTATGCTACTTGACTTCAAACTATACTACAAGGCTACAGTAACCAAAACAGCATGGCACTGGTACCAAAACAGATATACGCACCAATGGAGCAGAACAGAGACCTCAGAAATAACACCACACATCTACAACCATCTGATCTTCAACAATCCTGACAAAAACAAGCAATGGGGAAAGGATCTCTTATTCAGTAAATGATGCTGGGAAAACTGGCTAGCCATATGTAGAAAACTAAAACTGGACCCCTTCCTTATACCTTCTACAAAAATTAACTTGAAATGGATTGAAGACTTAGATGTCAAGCCCAAAATAAAATCGCTAGAAGAAAACCTAGGCAATACCATTCAGGACATAGGCTTGGGCTAAGAGTTCATGACAAAAATGCCAAGAGGAAGTGTGACAAAAGCCAAAATTGAGAAGTGGGATCTAATTAAACCAAAGAGCTTCTGCACAGCAAAAAGAAACTATCATCAGAGTGAACAGGCAACCTACAGAATGGGAGAAAAATTTTGCAATCTACCCATTTGACAAAGGTCTAATATCCAGAATTTACAAGGAACTCAAATAAATTTACAAGAAAAAACAAACAACCCCATCAAAAAGTGGGCAAAGCACTTTTTGAACAGACATTTCTCAAAAGAAGACATTTATGTGGCCAACAAACATATGAAAAAAGTTCATCATCACTGGTCGTTAGAGAAATGCAAATCAAAACCACAATGAGATACTATCTCATGCCAGTCAGATGGCAATTATTAAAAAGTCGGGAAACAATAGATGCTGGCAAGGCTGTGGAGAAATAGGAACGCTTTTACACTGTTGGTGGGAATGTAAATTAGTTCAACCACTGTGGAAGACAGTATGGTGATTCCTCAAGGATCTAGAACCAGAAATACCATTTAACCCAGCAATCCCATTATTTGGGTATATACCCAAAGCAATATAAATCATTCTACTGTAAAGACACATTCACATGTATGTTGATTGCAGCACTATTTACAACAGCAAAGACTTGGAACCCACACAAATTACCATCAATGGTAGACAGGATAAAGAAAAGGTGGTACAAATACGCTATGTAATACTATGCAGCCGTAAAAAGTAATGAGATTATGTCCTTTGCAGAGATATGGATGAAGCTGGAAGTAATCATCCTCAGCAAACTAACACAGGAGCAGAAAACCAAATACTGTATGTTCTCACTCACAAGCAGGAGTTGAACAATGAGAACACACGGACACAGAGAGGGGAACAACACACACCAGGGCCTTTTGGGGGGTGGTGTGTGAGGGGAGGGAACTTAGAGGATGGGTCAATAGGTGCAGCAAACCACCATGGCACGTGTATACCTATGTAACAAACCTGCACGTTCCGCACGTGGATCCTGTTTTTTTTTTTTTTTTTTTTTTTTTAGAAGGAATTAAAACAGAAAGAAAGAAAAAGGAAAACATTCCCTCTCCCTAAGCACCTAGACTTGAAGAATTAGCAACAAAACCACAAACAAATCCCACAAACTCATCTTAACTTCAACTTGCCTATAAGCCAATCTGGGCAGCAGAGACTTGCTTCTGAAAGGATGGGTAAGTCACACATCTTAGAAAAGATAAAGCATTACTTTTAGATTAAATCTTGTAAAATTGCCACGTTTGTAAGTAAAAACTTGTTGAAATACTGGCAACTTTGTATGCTTCAACCTAATGTAAGAACTGCTCTGAAGAATGAAAGCAAGCGCTTCCCTCTGAAACAGATTTACCTCAAGAAGGAGTAGGGAAAAAGTTAAATGGCTTTGACTATGTTATCAATATGCCTTAAAAGAATTTGCATACATGAATCCAAAATAAGGAGCCATGAGGTTCTAAAATCAGAGTTGTATATAAAGAGATTAAAGACACAAGTATTCAGATAAAAAACCATGATGTATGCAATGCATGCTAGATATGATACTGAAAATATGAAATTTTTTAAGTAGAAAAAAACCCTCAAAACTGTTCCTGAGATTAAGACAGAAAATATAGAGATAAAAATGAAAGAAGGAAGAAAAGAAATGCTGAGGCACACAGAACATAATGAGGAGCTCACATTTATGACTTCCAGAAGAATAGTGTTTCTGATGGACCCAAGGCAATAATGAAAGGAAGAAGAAAGTTTTCCTAAACACCAGATTCTAGATGAAAAGGGCTCATCAGGTGCTGAGGAAAAGAGAGTGATGCCACATACCTGTATGCCATGCACAGGGGTGACAGGACATAAACTTGGGTCTCCACCAGTTGGTCCATGTAACTGAGCAAGAAATCAAAATAGACAACTGGAAAATGCGTGGGTTATGGCAACAGAAGAAACAGCAGTGAGCAGGAGCATTGAAACTAATTTAATATGAGACAGACACCCAGTTTACATAAATATGCACCTACAACATGATAAAAATATCAGTAGGCCTTGACAGAGAAGCTTTCTATAATAGTAAAACACAAATAATTAGTTAATTAAATAATAATGACATAATCATAATTGAGTTCTAAAATTCCAGGTTAGATCAAGCTGAGGAAAGGATAGGAGGTAATGCTACCTTTTTTCATCTTACACAAGACGAATTGAAAGATAATTCTTTTCAGTTTTGACATTAAAAAGCAGAGAAAAAAGATTAAGTATAAAGGAAAATGTGGGCCGGGTGTGGTGGCTCACACCTGTAATCCCAGCACTTTGAGAGGCCAAGGTAGGAGGATTGCCTGAGTCCAGGAGTTTGAGACCAGTCTGAGCAACATAGTGAGACCCCAGTCTCTACAAAAAATAAAAATCGAAAATTAGCCAGGTATGGTGGCACAGGCCTGTAATCCCAGCTACTTGGGAGGCTGAGGTGGGAGGATGGCTTGAGTCCAAGAGGTTGAGGCTGCGGTGACCCATGATTGCACTGCCACACTCCAGCTTGGGAGACAGAGTGAGATTTTGTCTCACAAAAAAAAAAAAAAAAAAAAAAACAGAGAGAAGAAAATGTGATTAATAATAAAACAAAAAAGGCCGTATATCAAAATAAAATACAGAGAAAGAGAGGGAAAGATGAGAGGGAGAAACAAAGTCTTTTTGGCAAAAGACTGAATCAGAGAAATAGAAAGGGGGAAAACCTGTTAGAAGAGTACATGGATTTAACTGCCTGTCAAGTCTCTCAAACAGGAGAAAAAAACCCCAGAATTGAATTATGTGGAGATTTTAATTCATAGACCTGAAGTAAAAAGGCATAGCTCACTGCAAAATAAAAAAGAGTCAGCAACAATTCTCAAGTAACCATAGTCAAGAGAAATATGTGCTCATGTAGGTGAAAGCATCAGGAAAGATGTATTTTCTAATTCTTAGTTGCTAGGTATTAATAGTGGTTATCTCTAGGTGCAGGTTAATGTGAACTTTTGTTTTTCAACAAGCTCTGTTTGCTTACTGATATTTGCTATTTCTTTTTTTTGCAGTGATACCTTTTGCTTTTGCCATTCAAAAAAATTATAGTTACTTTTACTTTTTAAAAACCTAATAAATTATAAGACCAAGAACAAACCAGACACAAAGTCACTACATCTATGATAAGATGTTACTATCCTTAATAGACAATTAGGATTTGCAATTCAATCAGAAAAAGATGAATTCCTGCTTAAAAATTTGGGCAAAGGATTATTGCTAACATAAAAGCTAAATAAGTAAATAACGAAGCACCAGTCCATTTGATATTCATGTGGACATTCAGCAATTGAATATAGATTATTAACCTATTTAGTTATTCACATAGATTCCATTTGTGAATGTGATTGACTTTCTCTTAGATTGTATTTTCAAAGTAAATTTTGTTTTAAAAGTTAATGGGTCTAAATAACAATCAGAAACTTTTCTAACAGTTCAGAAAACTGGAATGTCACCATAAAATTTTTTGGAAAACTTGGTTATAAGACATGATTTCTTTTTGTTTGTTTGTTTGTTTGTTTGTTTGTTTTGTTTTGAGATGGAGTCTTGCTGTGTCTCCCAGGCTAGAGTGCAGTGGTACAATCTTGGCTCGCTGCAACCGCCGCCTCCTGGGTTCCAGCGATTCTCCTGCCTCAGCCTCCTGAGTAGCTGGGACTACAGGAGCGTGCCACTACGCCTGGTTAATTTTTGTATTTTCAGTAGAGACGAGGTTTCACCATATTGGGCAGGCTGGTCTCAAACTGCTGACCTCCTGATCTGCCTGCTTCGGCCTCCCAAAGTGCTAGGATTACAGGCGTAAGCCACCAAGTCTGGCCTTCTTGGTGTTTTAATTAATAAAATTTAGGGGCAGAGAATTGGTTGGTACTTTTATCAAACCTTGCTAGAAGCAGAACGTTGCCATCAATATATTTGTCAAAATAGGAAATTAGAATAGTTTGTATAGGTGATTTTTAAGATAAAAAATAATGAATATAAAAATATCAAGTCCAGTTTAAAAGGCATTTAAAATTATTTTGAAGTACTAATAAGTCTTCTCTTGGCTTTCCCTTAAGTCAGCTCAAGGCTCTCCTTTGGCTTTCTTGAAACATATTGATATATGTCCATCCACCACAGGCTATAGCAGACATTCTTACAATATCAACCTAAAATTAAAAGACTCCAGAAAATGTACTTGTACTGAATTTATCATCAGTAAGTGTTATATCTCTATTGGTTTATAACTGATACACAAAATTTGCATTGCAAGTTCTTTTGAATCAATTAGAACATATTTAGCCAATAGTTCTTAAAATCAAGTACATTATGCCGTCACTATAAGTAAATCAATTACTCAATAATTGCTTCATCAGAAAGAAGAATTAAGTTTTACAGTTAGGGTAAAAGTTTCTGACAAGAAGGATGTCTTATCTCTGTAATTAGAAGCATGGTAATTTATGAATTCTGCAAAATTTGAAGTTATTAATCAGTATTTTGTGCACCGTTTTAATAAAGATTTAAAATATTCCCCCTGTCAAAAAATAAAATTGGTCAAAGGACATAAACAGTTTAGAGAAGACATGCTAATGTTCAATGACTCTGTTAGGATTTTAATTTTTATTTTTAAATTTTATATTTATTTATTTATTTTGAGATGGAGTCTTGCTCTGTCACCCAGGCTGGAGTACAAGTGGCATGATCTCAGCTCACTGCAACCTCTGCCTCCCAGGTTCAAGTGATTCTCCTGCCTCAGCCTCCTGAGTAGCTGGGATTACAGGCACCCGCCACCACGCTCGGCTAATTTTTGTATTTTTAGTAGAGACGGGGTTTCGCCATGTTGGCCAGGCTGGTCTCAAACTCCTGGCCTTAGGTGATCCACCCGCCTCGGTCTCCCCAAGTGCTAAGATTACAGGCGTGAACCACCATGACCGGCTAGAATTCTGATTTTTAAATACACACATATGCATAGCTAAAAGTCATGAAAGGTGACTTTTAAAATGTTCACAAAGGTTATTTTTATTATCCTCTTTGTATCTACCTTTGTTCTCTGGAAATGAGCATGTATTACCCGTGTAATTGTGAGACAATATGAAAATAATCATCTCTCTTAACAGAAAAGAAAGTGACGTGTCATGGCACACACCTGTAGTCTCTGCTACTTGGAGGCTACGGCAGGAGGATCTCTTGCAACCAGCGTGTGCTATGATCATGCCCATGAATAGCCACTGCACTCCAGCCTGACCAACATAGTGAGATGCCATGGAAGGAAAGAAGGGAGGAAGGAAGGAAGGGAGGGAGGGAGGGAGGAAGGAAGGAAGGAAGGAAGGAAGGAAGGAAGGAAGGAAGGAAGGGGAATGTGCCCTAAAATCTGAAAGCGGGTTTGTGAAAGTGAACAAACTTGCTCAAAGCTAAAGAGAAGATTAGAGCTGAGATTGTTCTCATCTCCTTAGAATATTTATCCATCTTTTCCATCATTACCTAAGTTTCCTTGAATACCAGCAGGGCAGGAGGCTGGTCTACCAGTTGTACAGTCAGTGGTAGGCCTGGGATCAGTGGTCACATGTGTGAACTCTCAAGCTGGAGCAGAATATATTAGAACACATTATCCAGAATAATCTCTAGGAAAACACACTTTTAATGCCTGTTTGCCAACATACCCTTTCTTGAGAGGTACTATTCTTGGAGCCTTAAAGTGGTCATGCATTCTGTGTCTCCAACTTCACAATTCCTATGCCCAAGGTTGACTCAAGTTCCCCAGTTGTCCACACAACAAGGAGAATGCAGTAGCAATTTAAAGGAAAACTGTCTGCATCAAGCAGTTGCAAGAAAAAGAAACTAAAAAAGACAATTTCGGGTACTTTTTAGGGGTGAAATACTGCATGATTTATCTATATGCAGTGCATGGCTTACCTTTCTACAATGGAAGTGGCATTTCTATATCCAAACCTACTGCAAGAGTTTCAAGTTCAGATGAAGGCATTATTTTCTATTTTTATAAATAGCCCATTGAGGACCTAAAATCTAGAGCTGAATATTTGTCTCTCCCCAGAAGATTTACCAGGACAGATGGCAAACAAACCAAAGATAGAGGTAATCTTTGTCCCAAATGAAAGGAATGTAATTACTTGAGCTACTTCCAGCTCTCAAGTAGTCATCACTAGAGCTAACCCTGCATTTCTTGCAAGCCTCCTGCAGATCCTCCAGGAAGAGGAAAGTGAACCAGAACTGAGCACACAGATTCTCTAAAATGTACACGTTTTTGTATTTCTGTGTAAGATCTTACTACACAAAATGGATAATTATTTTTGATCAAATTTTGACACGCCTCCACAGACAATTTGCAACTTGAGCTTAAAAGTCCAGAAGTATGCCCACAAGAAAATAGGAGACCAGCAGTCAAGTCAGTAGGCAGGATGGGGCTCCACTGTACCGTGAGATTCCAGGGTTCAGAGAAGGCCTTCAGACATTTCCACAAAACTAGTGATTGAGCCACAACAGAAACAAACCAGAGTATGTTACTTTTATATAGCATTTTATAGTGTATAAACTGTATTCACAATTGTTTTCCTTCAGCTTCAGCAGTGTTTGTGAAGCCTTCATTCCCAATTCACAGATTTGCAAATTTACTCAGAGAGGTTAAGCGATTTGCCCAAGATCACACAGCCAGTCAATATTGGAACTTCAACTTCTTTTTGCTATATGAAAGTCATCATCCTCTTGCCAATTTATGGTAACTTACCAGCTGGATGATACAGCAATTACACATTAGGGCTTCATCCCTTTAACTGAGATAGTGCTCCTGAAATGTTTCTGCAGATGCCTGTCTGGTAGCAGAGGGTCATGACATCAATGGTAGAGGAATGGGTGGCTTTGAGGGCTTTGGCTCAAATAGCCTATCACAAATATAAGCTTTCTTTTCACAGTTTTGTGTTTTATCTTTAAAATTGTGGGGTACTTTGCCATCCCCACTTATAATGTAGCCATGCTTATTTTAGCATACAAATATTTAAAATGAGGTACCATTAATCTTTACATTCAAGAAGATGTACCGTGTTTATCCTGTGACTTTGCATACTCTGGCAGCCAAATGTACCACAGGATTAAAGATACCCTGATGTGAGAAGCTCAAGCATTGCTTCTTATTAAAATTCAGTATGGGGAAAATCACCAAAATAAAAAGACATGATGGTATGTTAATTTCAGTTGCTTCTTTTAAGAAGTTTTGATGGGTTAAATCAGGTAGGTGATGTAGACACAGTTTGCTTTGGAGGACAGGGAAGAAAGTGGAAGGTGGAGGTTGAGGAAGGTTAAGAAAACAGATGGGGTAAACTGGGGGCGTAAAACCAAATGCTGTCTTTTTACAGTTTTATCTAAAGCCAACCCTGAGTCTGTGTCCTTGGTAAGCATGACTCAAGAAAGAGCTACTTAAACACCTTGATTAAGGTAAAAATTGTTTGATTAATAAGTTTTTAGAAATGAAAAATTAAAATCATATCCTCAAGCATTAAACAAATTCTAATTCAAGATATATAGAAAATGTTCTAGCTAGCTGTAGTAACAAATATGAGAGGCAAGACTTGCAAGGATTTCCTTATTTATACTGTAAATATTCCCCTGACTTGAACTGGTTACTGGTTACCTGTTTGAAATAGTCATCATAGCAAAAACAAACAAACAAAAGATCAGGCTATTTATAATTCTACCATATAAAGGCTACTTTATTTTTTATTGTTGAAATTTCAACTTTTAGATTCGGGGGTACATGTGCAGGTTGGTTACATAAACTTTTGTGTGACGTTGAGGTTTGGGGCCTGCATGATCCCGTCGCCCAGGTAACAAGCAGAATACCCAACCTGAAGTTTTTCAGCCCCGTCCACCCCCTCCCTCCCTCACTCTTCCAGCGGTCCCCAGCGTCTGTTATTCCCGTCTTTATGTCCATGTGTACTCAATGTTTAGCTTGTACTTATAAGTGAGAACATGTGGTATTTGGTTTTCTGTTTCTGCATTAGTTCGCTTAGGATAATGGCCTCCAGCTGCATCCATGTCACTGCAAAGGACATGATTTCATTCTTTTTTATGGCTCTGTATATGGTTTCCATAGTGTATATGTACCACATTTTCTTTATTCCGTCCACTGTTGATGGGCATCTAAGTTGATTCTATGTCTTTTCTACTGTGAATATTGCTGCAAGGAACATAAGAGTACGTGTGTCTTTTTGGTAGAACAATTTATTTTCCCTTGGGTATACCCAGTAATGGGATGGCTGGGTTGAATGGTGGTTAAGTTCTTTGAGAACTCTCTGGACTGCTTTCCACAGTAGCTGGACTAATTTACATTCCCACCAACAACGTATAAGCGTCCCCTTTTCTCCACAACCTCACCGACATCTCTTATTTTTGACTTTTGAATAACAGTAAAGATGTTTTAAAAATTACAATTTCAGTATCACTTAGAAGCCTACAGAGAATTTTGTTACAATGAATTTGGAGGTTTTATTTCACTTGTTGGTACTCCAGGATGAGAATAACAAAACATTATTTTTTCTTCTTTTTTAAGCTTTATTGAGGTATAATTGACAAGTAAGAATGGTATATATGGCTGGGCGCAGTGGCTCACACCTGTAATCCCAGTACTTTGGGAGGCCGAGGTGGGCGGATCATGAAGTCAGGAGATCAAGACCATCCTGGCCAACATGGTGAAACCCCGTCTCTACTAAAAACACAAAAATTAGCTGGGTATGGTGGCGCACACTGTTATCCCAGCTACTTGGGAGGCTGAGGCAGGAGAATCGCTTGAACCCAGGAGGTGGAGGTTGCAGTGAGCTGAGATTGCACCACTGCACTCCAGCCTGGTGACAGAGCGAGACTTTGTCTCAGACAAACAAACGAACAAAAAAGAATGGTATATATTCGAGGTGTACAGCATGATTTTTAAGCGACACATTGTAATTGAACATATTTATGGGGTGTGCTTTGATGTTTTTATTCATATCTATGTTGTATAATGATCAAATCAGGGTAGTGTATCTATCACTTTATCCATTTATCATTTCTTTGTGGTGAGAATATTCAAGTCTCTCTTTTAGCTATTTTGTAATATACAATACTTTACCATTAACTGTAGTCATTCTACTGTGCATTAGAACACCAGAACTTATTCCTTTGGGCTAATCTTAATTTTGTATCCTTTGACCAAACTCTGTCTTCTCTTCCTGCCCCCACACACCCCAGCCTTTGGTAACCACTGTTCTACTCTCTGCTTCTATGTAACATGAGGTTTTGACATACATATTCATTGCAAAATGATTTCCATATGTTAATCAGTCAAGCTAATTAACATATCCATCGCCTCACATTGTTACTGATTTTGTGTGCGAATACTTAAAATCTACTCTCTTAGCAAATTTCAAGTATGCAATACGTTATTATTACTATAGTCACCATGCTGTACAGTAAGTCTCCAGAACTTATTCATCTTATAGCTGAGAGCCTGTACCTTTGACCAACATCTCCCCTTTTCCCCCAACCCTTAGTTCCTGGTCATCACTTTTCTACTCTCTGATTTTATGAGTTCAATGTTTTTCGATTTCACATATAAGTGAGATCATCAGTATTTTCTTTCTGCGTCTGGCTTGTTTCACTTAGCATAATGTCCTCCAGGCTCATCCAATTTGTCACAAATGACAGGATTTCCTTCTTTTTTACAGGTAGAATAATATCCCATTGTATGTGTGTGTATGTTTTATATATATATATATATATATATATATAAACACAAACTTGACTTTTGAATAACAGTAAAGATGTTTTAAAAATTACAATTTCAGTATCACTTAGAAGCCTACAGAAAACTTTGTTACAATGAATTTGGAGGTTTTATTTCACTTGTTGGTACTCCCGGATGAGAATAACAAAACATTATTTTTTCTTCTTTTTTAAGCTTTATTTATATATATATAAAAAACACACACACACATACATATATATATATAAAACACACACACCACATTTTCATTTCCATTCCTCTGATGATGAACACCTAGCAACAACCACAACAACAGTAACAGAGACAACCAGCACTTATGAAGCACATGCTACACTGGGCGCTGGAATATGTGCTTTTGGTTATTAACTCATTTAATACTTATATAACCCAATGAGGTAAATGATATTATTAACCTCATTTTGCAGATGAAGAAACTGAGGCATACGGAGAGTCAATAACTTGGCCAAGTTCACATACTTAGAGGGTGGGTTATTTACTAATTTTTTACCGTTCCAATGAATAACTTAGTAAAAATGTTCAGTCACAGAAATCAATTGATAAAGAATTGTTTTAATTCAAACTCTAATAGGTCGTTTGTACTTTTCATTCATTATATATATTTATTTCAGCATATATACACATATACTATGTATATATAAGTGCTAGTTTACACACACACACGTGCACACACATGCATACATGTGTATGTTAAAATACATATATAGATGTATATAACAGCTGTATATACATACCTCCCAAGTCCTGCTATGGGAGGATGCAATCTAAATTCGTAGCAAGTGACTTCATGGTGTCTACGTCTCCTTATTAAGGTCACAGCAGCAATTATTGTAGACACTGTCTTATGTATCTTCTTGCTTATAGCAGTTACTCTATTTTTATGCCAAGAATCACTATCACATTTTCCAAAATCAATTTAACACTCCTTTATCAAGAGCCCACCAGGTTTAAGGCACTGTCAGGCAGTTTCCTTTGAGCAAAGGGCTGTTTGCAATGCCTGAATCTGGGTGTATTGGATGGCTACCATTTAAGCAGAATACACCCAAGCACTGTGGGCTGTGTTAGCCATTGTCCATATGCAGGAGGCAAATTCATCCTCAAATTATTTCTTGGACAGTTTGCCTCTAGTAATTAAGAGGTTAAAATTTTCTCACATTTCCGTTGGAAAGTTTCTTTTTATTTGATTCTCCCAGGTGTGAAATAATTTAATACTAGTCTCTTTCTCCAAGCCTCTCTGCTGGGGTTCTGAGCTCAGTCAGATAATATTTGGAAAGCACTTTGTTCTCAGAAGAAAGGTCACACTTAGAAGGGTTGGTATCATCCACCTGACTGCACCAGGGGCAAATGTTGTCCCTAGCTAAGCTTCTGCCTTCAGATGCTGTATACCAAAAGCATATGTAATAAAGAGAAACTCACTTTTCAAGCTTGAGTACAAAAGAATAAAGCAACTCCTGTGCCTGAGGGAGTCTTGGAAGCCAGGTGAAATAAAGCAGAAAGCAGTGGTTAGTCTTGCAAATCAGTGGAAAAATCATCAGACCACAATATCCATGATAGCCCAGAACCTTGCACTGGGCTTAATCAGGCTCACAAACGACACTCAGTACTCTCTATATGCTGCCTTTGCAAATCGCTTTCTTTTTCTGCTTTCTTGAGCTGGAGATTAAAAGAATCAATAAGACAACTATTTGGTGGCACTTTGGATTTTAATGAACTACACAGTCACAAGGCAATTATATTGCTAAATCATTAATTGCCTTTGAGAGTTCAACAAATGTTTATCACATCTACTATATTTTGATCATTGTTAGTGGAGGAGGTTCTTGAATTACAGTAATGAAAAAGAAGTGACTGAGTTTATATATGAAATACATGAAAGTTAACTGAACCATTTAATGATTTCAATTTTCTTGTAGCCAACTAATATTAACTGCAGTGTGATAAAAGGTTTTTCAATTGACTATTGTTACAACTTAAAATCTATGCACAATACCTGGCGCAGTGTCTGGGACATAGAATGTGTTCAACAAATGTTATCTCCTTCATTTTTGATATTGTTTGGCTCAGTGTCCCCAGCCAAATCTCATCTCTTATAATCCCCATGTGTCAAAGGAGGGACCTGCAGTCCCTACGTGTCGAGGGAAGCAGGTGATTGGGTCATGGGGTGTTTTCCCCCATGCTTTTCTCCTGATAGTGAGTGAGTTCTCATGAGATCTGATGGTTTCATAAGTGTTCGGAAGTTCCTCCTTTTCTCTTCTCTCTCTTGCTGCCTTGTGAAGAAGTTGATTGCTTCCCCCTTTGACTTCTTTTTTTTTATTATTATACTTTAAGTTTTAGGGTACATGTGCACAACGTGCAGGTTAGTTACATATGTATACATGTGCCATGTTGGTGTGCTGCACCCAGTAACTCGTCATTTAACATTAGGTATATCTCCTAATGCTATCCCTCCCCACTCCCCCCGACAACAGGCCCCAGTGTGTGATGTTCCCCTTCCTGTGTCCATCATTCTCAGCAAACTATCACAAGGACAAAAACCAAACACCGCATGTTCTCACTTATAGGTGGGAATTGAACAATGAGAACACATGGAACCCCTTTGACTTCTGCCATGATTGTAAGTTTCCTGAGGCTTCCAAAGCCATCTGGAACTGTGAGTCAATTAAACTTCTTTCCTTTATAAATTACCCAGTGTCAGATATTTCTTTATAGCAGTTTGAAAACGGACTAATACAATTGTCTTCTAAAAAACTGGAAATTTTTGCAATTAACTCCCTGAGTGAATTTTACATTTTGGTATGTCATTCTATCTCTAGTGGCCAGTGCAATTTTCATCATCAAGTAGGTGGTCCATAATGTTTGCAGATGGAGTGAGCCTATCACAGTGTTAAACTGACATTCAGATTATTTCCTAGCAGAGTCTACAACAATGATCTAGTAAATAAGGTAAAGAGCAGGAAATAAAGAAAAATAGATTCAGTTTATTCCACTTCTGAGCCACCTTGCTATTTTTTTGGCCATTTATCTAGACTACTGGTAGTTATTTCATCTCATCATAGTAATTGATGATGTAACTCTAAATTTTCTTTACAATGAACACCAACAAAGGCATATTTTAACAGTTTTATTGAGATATAGGTAGTATGCCATTAAGTTCACACACGGTGTACAATTCAATGGCTTTTAGTATATTTATAGCATGTGAATCTATTGCCACGATCAGTTATAAAACATTTTCCTCAGCCCAAAAGGAAATCACACACCCTTTAGTTTTCACTTCCCCAGCACCTCCTCCCTCCACCCTGCCCATTTCCCCCAGCCAAAGGCATCTATGAATCTACTTTCTGCCTCTTAGAGTTACCTATTCTGGACATCTCATATAAATGAAATCATACAATCTATGGACTTGTGTGCCTGGCTTCTTTCACTTAGCACAATGTTTTCAACATTCATCCATGTGGTAGCATGTATCAGTACTTCGTTCCTTTTTCCTGCTGAATAATATTCCATTGTATATGCATAGCACATGCTGTTTATCCATCCATCAGTGGATGAACATTTGGGCTGTTTCCACTTTTTGGCTTTTATGAATAGTGCTGCTATAAACATTTGTGTAGAAGTTTGTTGTGGATTCATCTTTACTTTCTCACCTAGAACTAGAGGAGCCTATTTTTAAATATAAAAAATATATACTCCTCATATACATTTACTTATCAGAAGAAATGGTGGGAGAATCTTCAACGTAGTGGAAAGAGCATTGAATAGGAGTCTGTAGGAAGACCAGGGCACAGGGTATCCTCTCAGTTCTGGTACTAACCGAACATGTGACCTTGAGCAAGGGGCTTTACCTCTGCCTTCTTGTACATAAGGGAGTTGGGGCCCTCACTTGAAGGTCAGCCTGCAACCTGTGCATTCTGAGAATTTGGTGTAATATAGTGACTCAGAGTTAGTTCTAGTTAAAATTTAAGCCTAAATCCAAAAGCAATATGTCAATTAGGTCAAGGAAATGGACATACATCCAGTTTAAAAAAAAAAACCTGAAGATCCAATAACAAATAAAAATAACCCTCAGTTGACTTTAGGAATAATTAAAGGTTGCACCAGAAAGAAGGAAAAAGTGTATTCTCCATCCTTACATCAATGTCTATTCATAAAAAGAGAACATAGGCTTATTAGGTAGACTCTTTTATACTTTCTAAGAAATGCAAAGAGAAATTGGAGTTGCAAACCTACCTTTTTATAATCTAAGGAAAAGCTTTTACTAATTACCAAGAAGAAAAGGAATACTTTATGAAAACAGTTAAAGATGTAGTACTATTTCTAAAAGGGTACTCTATTCAAGAAAGTTCTTATGCTTTCATGAGAAAATGTTAAAAATTTTTAAATGTCCTTTGCAATTTATCTTTTGTATTTGTGAACACACACACACAGAACTTAAGTAGTCTGTTGTACCTACTGAAGAAAAAACTAGAAATAACAGTGAATATCTGGCATTTTTTTTTACATGTTAGGAGGTAAAAATCAATGCAAATGACATAAAAAATCATAAAATGAATAGAGTAATAAAAGGCTTTAAAAAATTCTGAAATCCAATTAATGTGATCAACATTAAAGGTTTTCCTTTAGCAATCAAAATCCAGTCCATTTAGATTTATTTGAGAAATGTCAACTCTCTCCCTAGTTAATGTTATTTAGGGAAAGAAAAACCATCCTGCCCTAGATTCCTGGTTTGGTATTAATTTATATTTCCTCATGATTTTATTAGCCAGTGGCCAAAGGAAAGTCGCATATATATATATATATTTGAGACAGAGTCTCACTATGCCACCCTGGCTGGAGTGCAGTGGTGTGATCTCGGCTCACCGCAACCTCCGCCTCCCAGGTTCAAGCAATTCTCCTCCCTCAGTTTCCAGAGTAGCTGAGATTACAGACACCTGCCCCCATGGCCGGCTAGGAAATTTGCGTATTTTATTACTGTTTTCTTCATCTAATGACTAGAAAGAATGATAATTTCATCTTTACTAGTTTCTTTTATTTATTATTATTAATTTTATTAGATAATATAAACGAAAATAGTGCAAAGTAACAAAAAAAGCCAGTCATCTACCCTATCCTCTCCCCAGAGGTAATCATTGTCAATTTTTTTGAGATTTCCTTTGGCATTTACCTTCGTATTCCTGAACGCCATTTTTATGCCATCATTTGTTTAAGCTCTGTTAGACATTGTCTGTGGATTTCCTACATGGTAGATGAAAACTTTTAACTTTCTTGTTTCCTTTCCTCTCCCTCCACCCTCAATAGAATCTTACCTCATTTTTAGTCTAATCTGAAACATTGAATTCAACCCATAAAAACTGAAAAATTATTTTAACTGTGTGTGTTAGGCAGCTTCTAAGATGGCTCCACTTATGTTCACCTCCAGGTTTACATGGCCTCGTGTAATCTCATCTCCTGGAGTAACTTGCTTCTAATCAATAAAAGAGGGCAATATCTCAAAGAATGCCGCATCTGTGATTATGTGACATAAGATTGTATACCTTCTGGCTTTCTAGCAGACTGGCTATATTGCTTTCTTGGCTTTGCTGAATCACACTGCCATATTGGAGAGGCCCACATGGCTAGGATTTGAAAGTGGCCTCTGGCCAACATCCATTGAGGGACTGGAGCTCTTTGTAACAGCCTGTGAGAAACCAAATGCTGCCAACAACTATTGAGTGAGCGTGGAAGCGCTTCCTTCCCCAGTCAATTGTTTAGCTGAGATGATAGTATTTGAGCTGACACCTTGACTGCAGCCCGTGAGAAACTTACGAAGCTTAAGATCCAGTTAAATCATGCTCCGATTCCATTAGGAACCAAATTAGGATAACTAAAAGTCTATGTAAATATTGTTTACTCTATCTTGTTGTATACTGTGATTATATTTCTTCTTGTATAACTTTTCTTTCTGTAATTAATAATTTTATTTTTCCATTTGCTTAGTTTTCTTTTTTAATTTCAATAATTTTTGGAGAACAGGTGGTTTTTAGTTACGTGGATGAGTTCTTTAGTAGTGAATTCTGAGATTTTAGTGCACCCATCACCTGAGCAGTGTACTCTTTAGCCAATATGTAGTCTTTTTTTTTTTTTTGAGACGGAGTCTCGCTCTGTTCCCCAGGCTGGAGTGCAGCGGCATGATCTTGGCTCACCACAACCTCCGCCTCCTGGTTTCAAGTGATTTGCCTGCCTCAGCCTCCCAAGTACCTGGGACTGCAGGCATGTGCCACCATGCCCAGCTAATTTTTGTATTTTTAGTGGAGATGGGGTTTCACTGTGTTAGGCTAGTCTCAAACTCCTGACCTCGTGATCCGCCTGCCTCGGCCTCCCAAAGTGCTGGGATTACAGGGCAATATGTCGTCTGTTATCCTTCACCTCTCTGCTCAGTTTTCTCTGACCTTGTAGTTTTGCCGTATTACCCACTAATTATGTTAAACACTTCTCAATAAAAATTTTTCATATAGTAAAGTCTATTTTGATAAGGAGCTCCACTTTCCTTTTCTCTGAAGACAACCACTCTTGTTGACTTCTGTTTAATTTTTCAATATGTATTTGTTTGTCTGTGGGCCTGTACATAACTCTTATACTGAGACATCTCTTTGCCATCTTTCTAAGACTTTTCTGCACCTCTTCCTTCCTGTTTTGGGTGCCCTATTTCTTGAATCCTGTGTTTACCTCCTTCTTCTCTTGTTTTTTTTTTTTTTTTTTTTTTTTTGAGACGGAGTCTCGCTCTGTCGCCCAGGCCGGACTGCGGACTGCAGTGGTGCGATCTCGGCTCACTGCAAGCTCCGCTTCCCGGGTTCACGCCATTCTCCTGCCTCAGCCTCCCGAGTAGCTGGGACTACAGGCGCCCGCCACCGCGCCCGGCTAATTTTTTGTATTTTTAGTAGAGACGGGGTTTCACCTTGTTAGCCAGGATGGTCTCGATCTCCTGACCTCGTGATTGGCCAGCCTCGGCCTCCCAAAGTGCTGGGATTACAGGCGTGAGCCACCGCGCCCGGCCTCTTCTCTTGTTTTGCTTGTTTTTGTTTCTTCTCTTTGTTATTGGCTTCCTAAGTAAGGACTGATGGAAGATCAATGTTTTGAAGCTTTGCATGTCTGACATTTTCTTTATTTTGTCCTCATACTTGGTTAATCATTTGGCCGGGTGGATACTTTTACTCAAAGTTTTGAGGACACCGATCTCTTGCTTCTAACTTCCAGTGCTGATGTTAAAACGGTCTTTACATCCCTACGTATAAATTTTTTCTTTCCTTTCTTTTTATTCTTCTCATCTCTGTTTATTCCCACTTCTGGGAGATTAGTTTAATTTTTCAACATTTTAATTGAATGTTTTATTTTGGCTTTAATACTTTTAATTTCCAAAAATCCTGTCTAGTTATTCTATTTGTATTGTGTCCTACTCTTGTTTCATGGATGCTTGTTTATATTTGACCAGGTGTGAGCACTAAAAGCCTCTCTGCAGAGACAGGGCTTACTGAGTGGAGGGCTGTGTCAAGTCATTAGTCACAGAACTAGCTGTTTGGTTGAGTGTGGCAAAAACTTCCAGCTGCTCACCAAAATCCATTCCCAGCCTCCTTGTAGTTAAGAATGCCTTTATGGGCCTGGCACGGTAGCTCACGCCTGTAATCTCAGCACTCTGGGAGGCCAAGGTGGGTGGATCACTTGAGATCAGGAGTTCGAGACCAGCCTGGCCAACATGGCGAAACCCTGTCTCTACTAAAAATACAAAAAAAAATTAGCCAAGCCTGGTGGCACATGCCTGTAATTCCAGCTACTCAGGAAGCTGAGGCAGGAGAATCACTTGAACCCAGGAGGCGGAGGTTGCAGTGAGCCGAGATCATGCCACTGCACTCCAGCCTGGGCGACAGAGTGAGACCTTGTCTCAAAAAAAAAAAAAAAAAAAAAAAAAAGAGTGCCTTTGTGACTGAGTTCTGTGCAATGGAATATTAGCAGAAGTGATTTTTGCCACTTCCAGACCTGGTCCATTAAAATACCCTAATCTACTCCTTTATGGCTGGAATAAAAAAGAGCTTCAGAAAATGACCTTAGAAATCATATGTCAAAGACAGTAGAGATTCTATCAGCTCAGGTGCCTGCAGGATGGCATGACTCTTACACAGCAAGAATTAAACATAAATGTGTTTGCACCATCAGGCTTTTTTTGAGTCTATTTGTGATGGCAGTTAACCATCTCTGATATGTTGAGTGAGGCCCCAAAATGTCAGTATCTGGGTTTCTTTTCTGGCTTGCTTCACTTTCTCCAGAGATGGATCCTCTCATCTCTCATCTGGAAGGATGTATAAGCCTGACTCCTGGCATTCTGTCAGTTGGGAATTGACAGAGGTAGGTATGTAGTATACAGACTTTTCTTCTGATTGCAGTGTAGTGATTTACTACCACCTTCCTCTGTGCTTGGTGTTTCTGAATATTGAGCCTCTTTAATTTTCTTTCCCTAAATAAATTACCTCTTATATTCAGTAGCAGAAGTGGAAGGAAAGTGGCCTGCTTGTTTGGAAAGGATGAAACACTGGTATCTAACTGCTTTTGAAACAGATTTCCAGTAAAACCGCTGTGTTTAGCCCTTCTCCCTGACCTTCACCTTTCAAAGTATCCAGTGCCTCCAATTCCTAAGCCTTTCCCTGGGTCTGTAAAGCAAATTTGCTTGTTGCTTGCTGGCATCACCTTCTGCAAAATTTAGATTTGACCTTTCACTCTCCTGTTAAGTTATACTATCCCAGCAACTGTTTTCTCTCTTCCTACTTTGTGGATGGCGATTGAAAATTTCATCAAAACAGGAGTTTGTGTTTCTTATTCTGGTTAATATGAAGTGGTTGTCAAGAGGAAAGACATAAAGAAATGTCTCTGCTTGACCATCCTAAAGCCAGAAGTCTCTTATAATTTTAATGAATCTAAATTAACTACCCAAAGAATTATTTTAAAAAGACAAAGAGATCCAAGGTGAGTTATTTCCAAATAAATTAACAGAATATTTTAAGTTATTTTTTATTTTATTTATTTATTTATTTATTTATTTATTTGAGACAGGGTCTTGCTCTGTTGCCCAGGCTGGAGAATGGTGTGATCTTGGCTCACTGCAGCCTCCACCTCCTGGGTTCAAGTGATTCTCCTGCCTCAGCCTCCCAAGTAGCTGGGATTACAGGTGCCCACCACCACGCCAGGCTAATTTTTGTATTTTTAGTAGAGATGGGGTTTCACCATGTTGGCCAGGCTGGTCTCAAACTCCTGAACTCAAGTGATCCACCCGCCTTGGCCTCCCAAAATGCTGGAATTACAGGTGTGAACCACCATGCCTAGCCTTTAAGTTCTTTCTGCTCATTTAACTGCTTAGTAGAACAATAAGTCAGATGTCGCAGAAAAGGAATGGAAACTGCATTCCATCACAAACTCAGAGTTCTCACAATCTTAACATGGACATTTTGCAATCTTGAGACTTGCTGTCTTGCAGTCTTGTGGTCTCAACGTCTCATCATTGCCTTGTCCCACTTCGTCATGGTCTTCAGTCTCACAGGCTCACGGTCTGTGGATGTGCCTAGTACTGTAGTCTCATGGTCTCACAGTGTCATGGTATTGCAGAGTCGAGGGCTTATTGTTTAAACAAATTTTGATTATGTTTTAGATTTACTCTGGAAATAATTTTCTGAATATAAAGCACCCTGTATTAATGGATGAGCCTTTTGGAGTTACTTGTATGTTTTGATTAGCAATTGAACATATATCTCTTTTTATCAGTAGCTAGGTCTTTGTTTTTATTTTTTCCAATATTGCCTGACATAATCTATCTCTTTGCCGTCAAAAAGAAATAGTCAAAGATTAGTGTAATATTTCTAAGAATAATACTTGTTATATTTCTGTATGTATGATTAATGGAAAGCAGCCCTCTTCTGGGCGCATTGACAACCGTAATAATATCAAACGCCCAAGAAAGAAACTACCAAACACAATTTAATTGCCTCTAACACCGCAGCTGAATTTGCGTGCCAATAATCTCTTTTGGAACTGTAGCTCTTTTTATAATAAAAAAGTACTTTAGCAATAACAAGTTTCAACAGAAGCAGGAGATACGTGGGAGGACGTTGAAAACAGGGACAGGCATAACATTTTATTGTAGGTGGTTTTTTTTTCCTTTCCCCCTACATGATGTCAGTTCTGTACGAACTGAATCCTAGCACAAGACTTTTTCTTTGGGGATTTTTGTATCTTTTAAAACCCACTTGATTGTTAATGTCAATTCCCTTTTTTGAAGAAAGAACAATTGTTAATAGTTTGGGATGCTTATTTGAAAATGTTCACATTCGCTGGGTTCAAATGGGGTCAGCTGAAACTGTATTCTTGACTTTGGCCAGAGATTGTCTCAAGCTGACTTGGTTCACCCTGCATCACAGATGATTTCCCAGAATTACAGAATTATTAATATCCTTTTCTGAAGAGCCCAGTGATGACCACAAATATTAGACATGAAAGGGGCTTGAGGGAGCAATTCTTTTTTTGCCTTTATGTACTGTAGAGAAGAAATGGGGTTCCCAGTCAATCTAGGAGTTTACTTATAGTCACGTAAGTAGTTAATGACAAAGGTAGGGCACTAACCTTCTGAACTGTATTCTTTGTCATCATATGCCTACATACATTCTTTTTTTGCCTTTATGTATTGTAGAGAAGAAATGGGGTTCCCAGTCAATCTAGGAGTTTATTTATAGTCATGTAAGTAGTTAATGACAAAGGTAGGGCACTAACCTTCTCAACTGTATTCTTTGTCATCATATACCTACATACAGGGTTGAAAGGGTGGGCTTTCCAATTGATTGTTTTTATGCACACACAGGTCACCAACAGCCCAGTGGGAGGAAGCTGTGCATGGCATTGTGTTGTCACTCATCCTTCTTTCCTTGGTCTTTCAAAACCTCTTGGTTAGATGTGTATAGTTATCCATGAGACAAATTCAAGAGCTTTTACTGAATGACATGAGAATTGATGAGTGAGCAGAGGATTTGGGAGCAAAGCCATCTCAGACAATGCCAATCGCCCACCCCCTCTCCCATGGGCTACAATTTACCTACGTTAAGCAGGAATCGAAAAGGTGAGAAATATTGTACCTTCCAGTTAATGCCTGAAGCTTGAATATCCACCGAATACATTCTATAATTAGATTAGCTACTTAAAGAAATTGAGATATAATTAACATAAAAAATATGCACATCTTAGTTGTTTTGATGAGTTTTTATATTATTTGTAAACATCTGTATTATGAAAAATTTTAAACAGAGAAAAATGGAAAGATTTGTACAGTGAACATTCACATCTGATCACCTAGATTCAGGGTTGGCTGAGATTCTTGAGTCTACAAATTTTGTGTTTCACCAAACATGGAAACATTTCAGCCATTATTTCTTCAAATATTTTTCTGGTTGTGGGGACGCTCATTCTCTCTTTCCTCTCATTCTTGAACTCTAAAGATCCTGTGTATGTTACGTCTTTTAATATTGCCCTGTAGGTCTCTAAGATTTTATTCATTATTTGCAATATTTTTTCCACTCTTTTTTCTTCAGATTAAATCATTACTGTTTTTCTGTTTTAAAAGTCAATAACTCTTTTCTTTTAAAATTTCCAATCTGCTATTAAGCCCATCCATTGAATTTGTATTTCAGGTATTTGATTTTTCAGATATAGAATTTCCACTTTGTTCTTTTTATCTAGTGTTGAATTCTTGGCTGCATTTATTATCTTTTTCTTCATTCTGACCACTGTCCTTTACATCCTATAGCATAGTTGTAATAGGTGCTTTAAATTCCTTGCCTGCTGGTTCCAATATCTGGAACACCTCAGGGTCAGGCTCCATTGATTGCCTTTTCTCTTGAGTATGGGTAATGCTTTCCTCTTTCTTTATTGAATAATTTTGGATTATATTCTGGGCAAATGATATGTTGTAGAGACATGCTAGCAGGCAGATGTCTAGACTCAAACTGCAAACCC
This sequence comes from Homo sapiens, assembly GCF_000001405.40. Lineage (NCBI taxonomy): Eukaryota > Metazoa > Chordata > Mammalia > Primates > Hominidae > Homo > Homo sapiens. The sequence goes on along the minus strand of NC_000006.12, from coordinate 12,612,115 downwards.
TGTGCCCTGCAGCTGAAGGCAGCTAAAAGTTTAGCTGTTTCTTTGGCCTCAGCTAGATGGCTGGAAGTCCGCAGGTGTGGTCTGGGGGCTAAGAAACAGTTTGAGCAGAGTATACACATAGTATTTGAGGCTCCCTGTGTCTGTCTGTCTTTTCTGGGGGATGATTTCCTCATTTCTAGCTGTAGAAGTCAACCCAACTTCTGATATCGTGTTCTCCAAGCCAGTAAGGCAGCACACGTCCAAGCTGTAGCTGCTCTGCTTGGTATATAGACTGTGGTATGCCCTCAGGCTAAAGCCATACAAATACCAAATTCTCTCACTTGTATTCTGTCTATCCAAACAATACTCGCCTTCCAGTATTTGTCTGATTTCCTCACTCTCTAGGAGTTTCAGATAGTTTTTTTTTTTTTAACATTTTCCCCAGAGTTTATAGTTATTATTAGAGGGTAGAATAACCTGGTAGGAGCTACTTGGCTATTAGCAGAAGTGGAGCCCTTTCAGTCATTGAGACTTAACATTCGTATACACCCTTGTAACCTCCATCCAAAGCAAGATAAGAGCATCTCCATCCCCCCTAAAAATCTCTCTGTGCTTCTTTCCAGCCACGTTCTCAACACTAGCTGATTTTTAGAACCATACATTTGTTTTGTCTGAATTTGGATTTCACAGAAGTGGAGTCATACCCTCTAGCCTTTTGTACCCGGCTTCTCCCATTCAGCGTGATGCTTTTGAGATGCATCCAGGTGGTCATGTGTGTCAGCAGTGCTTTTCTTTTTATTACTAAAGAGTGTTCCATTATGGGAAAATACCACAATGTGTGTACTATTTTCCTGTTAAGGGACACTGGAGCTACTTTTAGTTTGGGACTATTATAAATAAAACTGCTATGAATATGCTTGTACAAGTCAATTTCTTGTTGTGGACATGGATTATCATTCCTCTTTTGTAAATAGGTAGGAGAGGAATTGCTGGAAGTCAAATAGTTCTCCATAGTGGTTTACTGTATGACATCACCACCAGCAAGGTCCAAGAGCTCCAGATGCTGCATGTCCTTGCTGACACTTGGTGTTGTCATTGCTTTCAATTTTTGCCGTTCTAGTGAGTATAAATGGTATTTTATTTATTTTAAATTGCATTTTACTGGCCGGGCACGCCGGCTCACTCCTGTAATCCCAGCACTTTGGAAGGCTGAGGTGGGTGGATTGCTTGAGCCCAGGAGTTCGAGACCAGCCTGGGTAACATAGCAAAACCCAGTCTCTGCAAAAAATACAAAAATTAGCTGGGCATGGTGGTGTGCACCTGCAGTCCCAGCTACTTGGGAGGCTGAGATGGGAGGATTGCTTGAGCCAGGGAGGTCAAGGCTTCAGTGAGCTGAGATTGCACCACTGTACTCCAGCCTAGGAGAGAGAGCAAGGCCCTGTCTCAATAAATAAATAAATTGCATTTTGTGGATGACTAATGATGCTGAAAACTCTTTCATGTGGTTATTGGCTACTTGTATATCTTCTTGTGGAATGTGTCTATTCAAAACTTTTGCTAATATTTATTGCACTTTTAAAGTTGGAGACTTGTAGCGATTTTTAAATATGCTCTGGGTATGTGTCCATCTTCGGATATGTATTACGAACATTTTCTCTGATTCTCTGGTATGTCTATTTATTTTCTTAATGGACTCTTTTGATAATCAGACATTTTTAGTTTTGATAAAGTCTAATTTATCAACTTTTTTCTTTTGGGGGTGCTTTTACTGTGCAGTTGAAGAAATCTTTGCCTATCTAAGATTTACTTCTAATCAAACCATAGTAAATACTGGTAGGTTTCTGAAATATTTTTTCTCTCTTTGAAGCTTTGAAACTTTGTATGTATTCTCTTTATCCAGCATAAAATGCTTTTTGAGGTAAAATAAAATATTTTCTGCAGCTTGTTTGGGCTCTGGGCAAGATAGCTGAAAAGTTAATAATATTTATACAGTGACTTACATGAAAAGATGCTTTATAGATGTTTGCAAAAGTAAATCAACTTACAGATCCGGTAGGAAACTTTGTTCAGTAGATTTGAAATTTCTGATTTATTGTTGCAAATCTATGAGGTGATGTGCTTGGAACAAGCCCCGGAGCACTGATCTGTGCAGCTGCTATGCCAAGGCATGGAGGGCTTAGCGCTGAATCTTACAGATGCACCAATTCTGCCAAAACATATGGGAGGAACTCACTTCAGCTCTTGCTTAAAAGATAACAACACTTTTGGATCAATGGCAATAATGCCAAATTAACACAAAAATCCTTAATTGTGTGTTTCTGATGAATGATTAGTCTCCTAATTCAAAAAGGCAGTGAAACAACCTCCAATTAAAAGTAATGTACTTTACTTAGATTGAATAATAGACAGCATTCTCAATATTCCAACTTGGCATGTAGCAAAGGGGTGATGGAAATTCGTATTTGCCAAGACTGCATGGCAGTTCAGAAAGTTGATTTTAAGCAGGATGATTTCAGAATAATACTTTCCCCATGAGCACTACTTTTTACAGAACCTCTTATGAAAGGGCCTTTCAAAAACATATCTGAGATGAGACAGACTATGGTAGAGTGACTTCAGTTTAGGACAGCTCTACCTTCACAAAGACTTAACAAAGCTCAACTCCTGTAACGCCCTTTATAATGTTTAAAGATGTGCTGTAGGTACTTTTTTGCATATTATCTCTAGTTCCTCACACAATACAATTAGGTATTGTATTGCAAATGAGATTTTATACTCATTTTACAATGAAGAAGTTCAGACTCATTAAAAAATTGTAGAAACCATCCACCTGGTAAGTAGACTTTGGAGGATTCAAACCTAGGTTTGTTTATCAGCAAAGCCTGAGTTCCCCCAACCACCCCCGCCCCCCGGCACAGCACACTGCTTCCCTGGTTCAAGGGCACCATAAAACTTACTACAGTGGAAGGAAATTCCAGAGTTTAAGCTATTGTCAAGGTAAGTCATATATGTGGTCTTCCATTGGTCATCTTGACAAGCTGTGAACAGCTTCATAGATATTTCCTGTTGTTTCTCTATGGTAAACCTTGACTGGCAGGTTTATAATTAGTCTTTCTGTCCAACCCCATTTCTCTTCTCCAGTGAAAGGTTTAGCTATGACACTAAGTCCCTTTTCAGTGAAACAAGGAATATGGTCACTTCTAGTTTGATTTATGCAGGACAATCGGAAAGATTGGGCAAAAGCTGGCTTTGGCTTTCTTTGTTTAGGCTATCTTTGGTTGAGAAAGTGGAAGGGAAAGTTCAAAGATCCAGAAATGGTAAGAAGAAACAAGAAAGCCATCAAGTTTGGTTTATTTTCTCAAGTTGATTATTTATGGCTAGTAGTCCACAGATGAAGAATTTTAATGATCGAAACCTAGAAATATGTGTTGTGCTATTTTGAGCCTGTTTCTTTAAAATGTAAGACTGCTAGAGGTATGAAGAGAAACTTTTGTTGTTTAAAAATAGCATTCGATATTGACAATCTTTTCAAAGTTGCTCATAATCACCATTTAACTGAGTGGATTTTATTTCTGGATACCAAAAGATATGATGATGCTTTTGTTTCTTTTTTTGTTCCTCTTTTTGCAGATAAAGCACACCCTGTCTACATGCACTTTCATTATGCTCTGTTGCAGGAAATTAGCTAACATTTGTGGAATGTGTCATCTTTTACTGCTCAAGGGTTTTGTTTTTCATCCTTTTACAGAAAGGATTGTTCTTAGCACCTTACCAAGAGCGCATCAATATAGTCACGCCACAACTGATGGGTATTGTCTGTTATTTTCATAAAACAGTGTGCAAAAGGCTTCTCAGCCTTCTTTACATAATACAGCGAGTGTCAATAAACAGAGTTTTGTTTTTTTTTTTCCAACAAGCATAGACATTTTATTGGCCAGGTGCGGTGATTCATGCCTGTAATCCAAGTGTTTTGACAGGAGGATGGTTTGAGGCCAGGAGTTTGAGACCAGCCTGGGCAACATAATGAGACTCATCTCTATGGAAAAAAAAAGTAAAAAGTAAAAAATTAGCTGGGTGTGTCTCACGTGCCTGTGACCCAAACTACTCGGGAGGCTGAGGCAGACAGCTTGAGCCCAGGAGTTTGAGGTTACAGTGAGCTATGATTGTGCCACTGTACTCCAGTCTGGATGATGGAGTGAGACTCTGTCTCTAAAAAACAAAAAATAGACATTTTATTATCATCAGGCTTACTATGAAGACTAACAATTGGTAACTGAAGTTCTGCACTGAAAATTTATATTTTAAGATGGTTTTTTTCACAAAAGGAGCTTTTCTTTGTCTAATATTTAAGTCAAGATTCTTGTTCCTGGCTTCAGTATCTCTGCAGTATGTTCATATATTTATTCCTCTGTGTGTGTGTCTCTGTGTGTGTGTGTGTGTGTGTACATATGCATATACACATATATACTCATACCTGCATGCAGGTTCCATTGCTGTTTATCATGTAGGAATTTTTTTCTCATCAGTGACATAGGTTTAGTGACCCATCTTCATTAACTATATCACGAACATTCAGGGACACAACAAAACTAACACTATCAGAATAAATTATTCATCCAAAATCCAGTTTTCCTTCTGGTAACCAAGTACTTAATGATCAGAACAGAGAAAGGCTAAACTTAATAAATGAGACTATTTAAATGAAAATATTCAGGATTGTAAAGGTAAAGATAAATGTTATGTTTGCTGTATTTACAGCTCCTTTGTATGATGCTGTAGCATTTAAAGCCCAATATCCATGTAGGAAATGATGAAGAAGATTGGCAATCAATTGGGAAATTGAATGGGGATGGGTAAACTTTACAGCTGTGGGTTTTAACCAAACCCAATGGTTGTTTTACTACCAGAAGAGTGATTCTGTGGCATATATTTCTTGCAGAAAAGAAAGAGGAGGGATAAACATGTGAGTGCATGTGTCTGCGTATGACAGGGACAGAGAATAAGGAAGCATAAGAATTTTGAGATAATCAGTAGGGAGGGAAAGGGAGAGATGAGCAGGGAGGGAGATGTTAGACTGGCTGTCACAGTGAGGCTGATATTTTTAATTTCTCTTTTTTATTCCCTGTGCTCATTTTGGCTCCAAGTCGCTGAGGCCGTTTCTTCATGAGTTTTAGTATTCTAGTCTAGTGAGACACACAGGGAGACGAGCAAACAAGACTTCAGTGTGAGCCCATCGATTGCTGAAGGGACCCTCGTCTGGCAACATCATTCCTGCATTTTGAGGTCAGCAGTTCTCAGGAAGCTAGGCTGGCTCAGTGCTTGGGATCTGCAGTGGAAGCTGACGCTCCCCACCAATCATCCAGTGAGCACAGGCAATTCTATCTTCCCACTGCTCTAATGATAATGCATTCCTTCCCTTTGAAACACTTAATTTTCAGATTTTGATAACTTCTGCCCACCTTAACTCCTATCAATCAGACTTTATGTAACAGCACTGTGTTTGGTTCCTGAAATGAAATATATTCTTCAGAACAGCTATAAGTGGAACAGGCTCAGAAAGAAGAGTGGATGTCAAATACTGTTTGTCATATCCTAGTAAGAAGTAGACTTTCATATGTAACACATGATCCCAGTGTAGCTTGATATAAATGGAAGATTTAAGTGAAAGAGGTCTATAATTTTGTTGGCAAAATAAAGAGAAATTTCCCTTATGCTAAGACCAAGTAGCCAAAAGTATCTCTGAAAATGGTAGACCTAATTCAATGAAAATCCCTCTGAAATTCTACCAGAGCTTTCGTGATTGTGTTAGTGAAACTCATCAGGTAAGGCTGGAGCTATGAGGATTCTCATCATTAACTTAATGGGGTTTGAGACTCAGATGCTTGAAAATGTGTAAGGTGGTTTGCTGATTTAATGTGAAACCGGAACTGTTGCCACCAGCCGCTCCTACCCACCCCATGTCCTGCCATTCCCATTGTAAGACATGTGTTAATGAGAACTGAATATCATGTGATGGCATCATTGGATCAGTTTGGGAGCCATTATCATACCACCCATGTGTGCTTGCTTTTGCCGTTATGTATTTTCTGGTGAGCAGTTGGAGTTCTTCCTTCAGTTACGAAGTGTGAGTTAATAGATGACACTCTATCCTAGACACTAGGTGGCGGCAGACTGCTGAGATAAACCATTACCCAAGGGACCGAGAGGCTCAAACCTGTTCCCCAATACTCAAAAGGCAGATGAAAATGGCAGGTGGATAAAACTGAATGGTATGAAACAACACACGCAAGATTGCAAATTTTCAAAGGCATGAATCACTATTGCATCCCCCAAAATCGTGTGAAGCTGCTTAAAGCTAACTTTACTTTCTTTAAAACGTCCTGGAGCAGTTATCACCCAATGGCCCTAATACCGTATCCAGTTTTGTTACATCTCTGAAGTCAAAGGTAGACACCCAGATATCATAGCTTCTCTCATTTATCATGAAGGGTTAACTCTAAATCTGTATTTTCAACCAATCTCTTTTTTTTGTTTTAAACATGTTTATAGTTGTTTTAAGTGGTAATATTTAAGTTCAAATAATTAATAGCAATATTTATTAATACTATCAGCCCAATGCTTGAGTAAAAATGCTGAAAAAAGTATAAGATGTTCAACTGTGTGCAAAGCACCACTGAATGTTTTCTAAGAATATTAATTTCTTATGAAAGACTAATAATAGATTGTCAATATAGTTTTAAATATTAAATATAGAACCAAATAAGATTTGACAATGAGAATTTAAAGACCATCATACTGTATTGGTGCACATGACATTCTAATTTTCAGTTTTTTTCCTATAAATGTTTCCTGTAATATGTCTTTGTGAATTGTTTTTTCCACTCAGTTTTAACTCCTAATCAGACCCAGCCCCACCTTGGAGAAGTCAACATCTTTAAGATGTGGAACATTTTAAGATTTATTTAAACTGATGACCAGCTAAAGATAAATAAGATAAATCATAAATATAATAAAAATAAAGAAGAATAAGAAAGCAAATAAAGAAATAAATAATTTTAAAAGAATAAAAACAAATTTAAAAATAAGTTTTAAAAACAGGACACTTTATATACTCTCAACTGGCTATTTCTGTACTCCCAGGGCATAAGCTGAACATAAATGACACTAAATAGGAACCCTAAAAAGAAGTGGAACAGAATTCCCAATGATGAAACCTGGTGCTTCAGGAAAATTCCAGTGTTAGAAGACATTGTGTTTGGAATGAATCCCCCTACACGCTATTACCAAATAAAGTTGTGCCAGGGCAGAATTTGAAGTTTTGTGAATTTGTTTTTAGGTTTTTAAATTGATTTAGGCTTCAGGAATTTCTAAATTTCTGCCAAGTCTAAATAGCTCTTTGTGGTAAGGCTATTAGCCTGTCAACTAGATATCACCAAAGGTCTTCATGAAGTACAAGTGGAAAAATAAGAGACAATTGCACTTTGCATGGATAGCTAAAAATATTTTCCACTCTCAAATACTCATCAAGTAAAAAAAAAAATCAGAGTATGGGCCTTATATCAGGACACTAGTATTTTCTTTGGGACTCTTATTTTTTATGCATAGGCCATATGTACTTTACTAATATTCTACAATGTATAATAGAATTTGGTAATATAAATAACTTGTGGTTTTATTTATATAAAAATTATATAAAGGTATAAAAAGTTTTCATTTTCACTTGCATATTTAATGCGTTGCTTTTGTAAAGAGGAGTACATTTATTTGAAGATAGAATTACCTAGAACATAAATGATGTATGGTTGCAGAATAAACACATTTAAAATGACTTCTTTAATTAATTTTTGAATTTTGAATTTTACCTTATTTAATGTTGATTTTTCTTTTTTAAACCATAGCAGGGTACATTTCTCCTTTGCTACCTGGCTCTACTCTCGGCCAAACCTCCCAGCCCATGGATGAGAATTCTCTTGTGTATCAATGGATATGCATGCTTTATTTTGTTTTATTCTGAGGGGATCTGTTTCTTCCCACAGCAGAAAAAGCAAAGTTGCCTTTTTCAAAGTTGCTTATGCCGTAAGGCATAAGATGGTGGTAATTCTTTGTGTCGACATCTATTTTAGTACAGTTTAAAAGTAGGTACTTTTTTAGTATTTTCAAAGGGGTCTGTCCATATTTCATCTTGATACGTTATTTTTTGCCTAGCACAGTGTCTTGCCTATGGGAAGCATCATATATGTTTTAAATACATCTATACAGTTTAATTGAATGCTAATAAATTACTCCCCCAACTCAGTAATAATGGAGAGAAGGCCAAATGGAAGTGAGGGTGTGGTCATACTCGGAAGGGATTCTTGAAACTGTCTGGTAGAAATAAGGCTTCTATTAATAAATCAGTCAATTCAATTAAACACTAGACTAGTGTCCATTTAATCAGCTTCTGAATTTTGGGTGTACAAGCAAAATAGTGTACGGTTTGGGTGAGTCTGGTTTGTTTTGTGTTTTCCACTATGAAAAAAATCAGAACCACTAGAGGTCACTCCAGTTATTAGCAAGAACTGGTTAGGCTAGTCTTTGTCTTACAGGACAAGGCAGCTCTGGCAAGCCTGCCTAAATTTTGCCATCAGCAGAAGCAGAATAAAAGTTAACTTCAATGCTCATAAATGGTTAGTACAAGTCTATGGTTTGCTCTATCCCATTACGCCATCCTGATTTACCTTCCTCCGTACCATTTCTTTCCGCTGTACCATTTCAATAATAACCTCAGCAGCTGTGTCTACTATGTGTTTATTATGCATCAGGCAATATTCCAAGGATTTTGCATCATTATCATCTTTACTTTGCACAGCAACCCTATGAGGGCTGTACCATTACTGCTACCATTTTACAGAAGATAAAATCAAGGCTCAGAGAATTCACAAAGCTGAGTGACAAGGCTGAGATTCAAACCCAGAGCCCACACTGGTAGACACAGATCGGATCCCATTAACAACAATGGGGTATGCTTGACTCTTATTTTCTATTTAAACAACAGGTTTGAGTGTTGTAACAGGAGAAAAGTTTCGGAATGCATATATGTGGCAACAGGAAGCACTTTGGCATCCCTCAAATCATACTCTACAGGTCAAGCAAATGCAGAGTTGTGTGTGTGTGTGTGTGTGTATGTGTGTGTGTGTGTGTATTTGGGAGGGGAGAGAGAATAGAGGGGAGTATGGAAAATGGATCTAACAAGTTAAAGGTGGGATTGCTGTTCGACATAGTCAAATGGCCAGGCCAGCAGACCCATAAGTCCATCACTTCCAAGTGACTTATCCAAAAGAAAAATAAAACACACCTTCCCAACCCTGCCATTAAAAAGATACTACTCAATCTGAGCAGCGGTTGTGTACTGTGTCTAAAGCCATGAAAGCACCTTTTCTACAGCATCTCGGAACATGTTCAGCGATTTGGTGAAAGACCCAGGAGCTCTTATTCACACCCTGCTTTAAGCAGTAGAGAGCTCTGCTGGCTCAACAAAGCATTTTTTTTTTTCCCCAAGGATTGATAGTATCTATGTATTTACATAATACCTCTGCCTGTGGCAAGCCTGACTTAGATGAAGAAGTGGAGGCTGAGGGAATTTAAAGACACTTGCCTCAGGTTACAAAGCAAGTCAACACAGATGGAGTTTAGCATCCCCAGCCCTGGAGTTTCCACTCAGTTCTTGGGCTGCTAGGACCCTGCATTGTGCTTGTTGGTATTAAACCTGAAGATCTCCCTTGTAGAATGTTCTCACAGGATCCCGCTCACCAAAAGGTGACGGGGGATTACAGTTTACCCTAACAAGGCCAACATCTTAATCTCATAATGAAACCTTCTGAGGATCCCCTCTGCTTTCACTCTGAGCCCCCATAAAAACCAATCATCATGTATACCCCTCCACCAAATGGTCGCTGCGATTGGCACCTGTCCTGGCCTGTGCCTTTGGAATGGAAAGTCAGGATAGTTTCAAAGTTTCATATACAATAACAGGAAAAAAAAATGAAACAAAGGAACATTTTAAGCAGCAGTCCCCACCTCTGAGCTGTTTCTTTCCAATCTCAGCCAAAGCTTTGCATACCTCAAATCCCCTGAGAGCAGAGAAGACTATAAAACAAACAGTTAAGATTTTTTGGTGGGGGAAGGCGGTGGGGGGGCCACAACAGAGGAAATAAAAATTGTTATAAGCTTTATCTTCTAGCATAGCTTGCTGCCTTTCACAATGTTCTAAAATGACAGAGAGAGTTGAGAAGAAGGAAAAATTGAATTCCAATTTATTTATCTCACACTCTCTAGCATTAGTACAAGAAGTAGTATTTGCTGGAAAGATGTTAAAGTAGCATTTGCATTTCAAGTCATTCTTCACATTTTAACTTATATATAAGGAACAATAAAAGTCCTAGATTAGAGACTCTTTTCAACTTGAAAGGTGGGAAAACAGGATTTAAAGGAAAAGAAAGAGGAAACCTGGTAATAGATTGTGTCCTATATAACAATCAATATTCTCTAGTTGACGGGTTCATTAGCTATTAAAACGAAGAGCCTTTCTGGAGAAAAATCATTATAAAAAGTACCATGGATGGGGCTTACTGTTGTCAGAGAGGTAATGGTTATGCTAGAGAGTACTCTGAAGAAGAAATCTGAAGAACTGCATCTTTGTGCATGTCAATTTCTCAGGACCTCAGTTTCTTCACTTAGAAAACCTGAGTAATAATATTCTATCATTTCTTTCTTGTTAACCTTTCTTGTAGACATGTTTTATATCATAGATATTTTATTAGAATCAAACAAGCCTTTTAATGTAACAGACACAAGAAAAAATTTTATTAGATAGCATCTTTCAATTAAGGTCTTAAAAAATTCTCAGTTGAGTATTCCCATTTTATGATTTAGAAAGATACATAACAAAGGCAGATAAAGAGATCATGTTAAATTATTTGCTTTAAGTTCCCCCCAAATTGAGCTAGTGTCACCAATGGAGTTGTAATGGCCAGTACATTCTTCCACTTGCCAGGACAAACACCTTGCTGTCAATCTTGGCTTCTTTCTTTCTCTAACGCTCCCAATTCATTCCAATAGGAAGTCCTGTGAGGTCTCTATTTGTGACATATATCCAGCGTCTGACTACTTCTCATTGCTTCCATTGCCACCTCCCTGGTCTGGGTCACTAACTGCACTACTGCAACTGCCTCCTAACGGCTTCCACCTGGGCATCTCCCCACAAATCTATTCTCAAAACAGCAACCAGAGGGATACTTCAAGATGCAAGTTAGACCATTTTCCTCCTCTGCATCAAATGCTCCAGTGGCTCTCATCTCCCTCAGAGAAGCAAATCCTTTCAATAGGCTCCAAGGCTGTATACATCTCGCCCCCTGCTAACTCACTATTTTCCGCCATGCAGCCATGCTGGCCTTTGCACTGTTCCCTGAACACAGTTACTTTTGCATCTCAAGACTCCCATGCCTTTGTTTTCTCTGCCTGGGTTACTCTTTCTCCAGATATCCTCATGTTCTCACCTCATCTCACTCACCTCCTCATGTGCTTCTGAAAAGTCACTCTCTCCGTGAGGTCCTTTCTCAGCTTTATATTTAAAATCGAAATCCACCACAACCCACAGGATTGCCCGGCCCCCTTCCCTTTTTATTGTTCTCCACACTACCTCCCATCTTCCCATCTTCTAATACCTACTTTACTTAGTTCTTTGTTTGTTGCTTGCTTTTCTCCTCCCCCATTAAATAACTCTTTTTAAAATTATAATTGCCACTTTTATTTTAGATTCAGGGGGTACATGTGCAGGTTTGTTACATGGGTACATTGCATGATGCTGAGGTTTGAGATATGAATGATCTTGTCCCCCAGGTAGTGAGTATAGTACCCAGTAGGTAGTTTCTCAGACTTTGCCTTCCTCCCCTTCTCCTCCCTCTAGGAGTCCCCAGAATTTTTGTCTCTTTAGTTGTCTTTTCATCCCCAGATCTTAGAATAGTGCTTGACATATAACAGGTGCTCAATGACTATTTGCTCAACGAGTAAATGATGCAATAGAGACCCAGACACCTCAGCCTTAGAATGTTTGACTTCTCCTAAGAACCCAGGAAACTTCTATTTCACTTATCATAACTAATTCACAGTCTCTTTGTAAGGTAGGTGTTTTTAACCCATATTTTACTGGGGGAAAATGACATACCAGGTGGTTGTCTTCCTTTAAGTCATATAAGCAGTTAAAGATGAACTTCATGAGAGGCCTAGGCTTTTGGACCCAAAATTTTCACATCCTTCACTCCCCCAGGTCCCCCAAAGAGCAGGATAAATTTTCAAAGCTGAAGTGCTATCATGTTTTGTGGATCATATCTTTTGCACATGATGCCCAGAACTTCCATTCCATATTATAAAACTATTGCTTAAAGTAATTATTTATCCAAGGAACTTAAATTCTTTACAAACAGTTCTATTTGCACAGGAAGTGTGTCTTTTTATAATTTACTTACAACTGGGTTTTCCAGTATCTGCAATTAAATTAAAATATATAAGTTCACTAGATTTGTAATCACTTCTCCATCCCAATTTCCATTTTAGAAAAGAAAAAAGTTCTTTAGACTTTAGAAGGACTTTGATATTGGATTGATCTTCAGAAAGATCTTTGAACTAATAGCTCAATTAAGCACAATTAATTCATTCAACTACCCCATAAGCCACAGTAAATCACCACTCAGAAAGCCCAACCACTTGGGTCACTGGGGCACTTTTCAGAACGATTCAGTTTATGGGGCAGTCCTAAAAATGTCATTCTGTTTATCCAGGCATCTAGGAATGATGTCAAGTCTGAACACTACCAAGATATCACCTTCACTAATGATGCCTATGATGTGGTGAGAGAGATGCTGTTTTTCCTGCTGCTGTTCCCAGGGTAGCCTTTAGAAAACAAAGGCCTCAGCTATGTAGATTCTGTCATGAAGCAATGTTTAAAGAGGTTATTCATAGAATCATGGCGGTAGCAGATGGAGACTTACAGAGGTTATCAGATCTATGTCTTTCCCTTCTGGCAGGATGATATCAACCACACAGCATGGCCTAAGAGATGGCTAACTGGCTTATGCACTCTAGATCATTGTTGTTCTGGTTGTGACATCAACTGTCCATGTCATGCTGGATTAAGTCTTTAATTTCCCAGGAGGAACACAGCGATCATAGAGCCATAAAACAATCTGGTATGAGTGATAAGTAATGGAAGGAATTAAATATGATAGGGATATAGAGGAAATAATAACTAACTTTGGTTGAGATATGTGTATTTGCACAGTGGAAAGAGTAAGGAGGAATATCAAGAAATGCTTCAGAGAGGAAGTATTTTATTTGTATTTTGAAGAATAAATGCAATTTTTTCAAGTAAGTAAATTTAAGGTATTCCAGGCTCAACTTTAAGCAGAAGCAAAAGCACGAGGTTTGAAAACCATGGCATGATTGAAAAATCACGATGAAAAATCTTTCCAAGTGTATGCTTGGTGGGTAAGGAAGGGGAGGAGACATCAGAAAAGTATATTGTGAAAAGTCTTAAATAATTTGCTGCATCACAGTGAGAATTTTGATTAAGGATATGGACTTTCTTCTGAAAGCATTGAGGAGCCGCTCAAGTGTTTTAAGAAGGATAGCAGAGAGATAAAATTTATCGCTTAGAAACATCACTCTTGCACAGCTTTAAAGAATTGGAGGGTGGCCAGAAGAGGCAGAGAGATGCATTAGGAGGCTTTTATTCTAAACCAGGTGGGAGATGAGGATGGCCAAAGCTGAGTAGTGACAGTAGATGGGATGTAGAGAGGAGGTTAGAATTGATTAATGTTAGGAAGGAAGATCTAACATAAATTGCTGTTGGTTTGGTGTGAGAAGTCAGAGAAAGTAATCCCTACAAGTGAATAAAATTGCTTGGGAAAGGTAATGGAGTGAGAATTGGGTCAAGGTCTGAACCCTGGAGACTACGAACATTTAAGGGATAAGGACTAATAAGTCAGGAGGAGACAGCTAAAAGGAAGGGAACTGGTAAAGAGTCAATATTTCAGAAAGGAGAGTATTCCATGAGTATCTTACTTAGAAAGGAGAGCATTCTAAGAAGGAAGAAAAGATCAGCAATATACAATGGTGCAGAAAGATCAATTAGAATGAGAATTAAGATGAGTTCATTGATTTTTCAATGAGGAGATTAATAAAACAATCTAAGTACTGGTAGGGGAAAAACAGATTGGGATTATTTTAATAAGAGTTTTTCTGTGTGTGCGTGTGCATGTGTGCATATGCATGTTTGCTTTTTGAAATGGAGAGGAGCTGAGCTTTTGTTCATGCTGAACCTAAGGAAGAGGATAAAGATGCAAAGATAATGGAGATGATGATTTCATAGCTTCCAGGTGAGATGTGAAAGGTCCAGGTCTCAGTGACTTGAAGAAAGGCTGGGTTTTATCTAGGAGGAAGAGGGAATACATTTTCCTATGAGACCAGGTGATGGGGTGGAGGGAGATATGGATGGATAGGTGATGGCAAAAATAAATGGAAGATTTTCATGAACGGTGGTCTCTCTTTTTTCGAGAAACAGAAAATTAGTTTATTTCCTGACAGTAAATAGATATAGGGCAGCGTTGAAGGCTCAGCACTACAAAGTATAGAGTTAGTGACTCTGAGGAAGAGTTGAAAAAAGTGCAAGCAATGTTTGAGTGTTCATTTGAGTTGGGAATCACAAATGGCCCTGTCCTGCTCCACACTACTGCCTCCTTTGTGAATGCTTATTCACTCTTCAAAGCTCACATTAGATGCCATTTCCTCTAGCATGTTATCTGTTATAGAAGCCATCCCTATAACTTACTCACTTTTGAATCGCTAGGTTTGAGTAAAGTGCCTGGAACACTGCAGCTGGTCAATAAATGTCTGCCCCAGGAACACACATTGCAAGGAAGAGCATGAGCGAATTCCCAGAAGAATGGCTAGAATTAATTTAGATAAAATGTTTTAATCAGAGAAATTCATCTTCATCTTCTTCCCACTTCTCTTCTCTTCCATCATCTTCTGTCTCCTGATGTCTCTGCCATCTCTCTTCAGCTCCACTTCCCGTACCCATCAATAGCCTTCCCCTTCTGAAACAGTCATCTTTGCCCTCAGCTGACTATATTCTAATTTGTCCCAAACACCACCTTAATAATTAATCCAAAAGTCAACAACACTTAAAATAAGACTCCTCCCAAGTGTATTTGTTTTAAAAAGGAGAGACACTACTATTTGCCTGGAGAAGCAAATGAGCTCAAATATTACAGAGAAAGAATCCATCCTGACACGTGGAAGCCTTCCTTCTGGGTGGCTTCCCTGCTAATAGGCTCAGCTAGTTTCTCAGGGAGGAAGCCACCATCACCACATTTTTCATTCTGGGAA
Organism: Homo sapiens; assembly: GCF_000001405.40. Taxonomy (NCBI): domain Eukaryota; kingdom Metazoa; phylum Chordata; class Mammalia; order Primates; family Hominidae; genus Homo; species Homo sapiens. The sequence goes on along the minus strand of NC_000006.12, from coordinate 12,596,713 downwards.
AGAGATGACCTTGCTCATTATTTGGAGGAGTAGGGAAAAAAATAAACACTTGGTACATTGCCTTAATAAAAATTGAACAAGCATGTATATGAGGGACAGCCATGCTCTAAAACACAAATTGTATGTCTCTCTTCCCTGCTCCATGCTAATCTCTGTCAATACTTTTCACCTCTCTGTAAATGCTCCACTCTCCTATGACCTTTGCTGGAGTCTGTGTTGATAGGGAGAGATTTTTGTAGGTTTGCCTGCCATTCTCCTTTATGTGTATTATTAATGTCAATACTGGGTCAATATTCCTTTTGCCATGAAATGTCCAGTGAAAGTCTAACATATCAATTGATTACTCTTGTATGAAGCAACTAAAAGGGAGAAATGAAGTGCTTATATAGAAGAAAGACATCCTTAAAACCAAGAAAAATTAAGGCATCACTGATAGTATTTACTGAGCCATCAGAGTGGGTATTCATCAGTTTAAACCTCTTGTGTGAGTCTTTTTGCTGACAAATACGTCTTGGATATGATGCAACTTTTTACAATTAATTCTAGGTGATCCTCCTGCACCCAGGAAATCTGTGTGCAGAGCTTAGCATGCCTGGGACCAGTAAATAAAGTTTTCCTCCGTGCAACTAAACCGTTTGATTGCTGTTATTGATCTTGACCACCATGAATAAATTTACAAATAGCAGGTTGTTTTTTTCTCCTAGGGTGTCTGATTTTCTGCCCATTCTCTTGAGTCAAATTACATTGTTTATCTCCTAGTGACTCCATCATTTATGTTTTTCCTGGGATCTCCAAAAGCTGAGAAATACTCAAGGCTGGGTTTGCCTGAAGGATACTGAAATCTGCTCATTTGAATCTCCTTCCTCCACGAGTTTCTTATCTGGTCCCATCCACAAATTCACAAAGATGTTGCATCTGGGGGGAATCCCAATTAGATCTTACCCATCCCAATTTAGCCCGTTTCGAAATCATAGATGCAGGAAGAAAACGGAACCACCATCATTATAACTTGTAGTTTCTTGGTTTCTGTGTGACCTGTTACTTTTTCTGCTTACTCCTTCCTCTGTTTAACTCTACATCGCTTCCCCTTTTTCCTATAGACTGTTATTTACCCTATGGTTATAGGCAAATTGATATTTCAAAAGAAAGGAAAAGAGAAACAAAAGTTCTGCACCTTGTTCCTCCTTTAAGGACAACGTTTGCAAAAACAGTGACTTCTGAGCTGAGACCACGTGTTGGAGCAACTACCTCACGGGACCACTTTGCAGGACCGCAACATCTGCTTGGGATGGTCTGGGTTCAGCCTTATGTGATCATCGTTCCTAAAAATAGTTTCTTTTGTTTTGTTAATAAAATTAGAGAATGCTGATAAAGTTCTCTTAAAGGGTCAAAAGAGGAAAGCTCATAAATTACAGCATTCCATTAATGAACAAAGCTACAAGAATGCAGATTGAGAAACAGCAAAAATTACAGGTCACAAGCTCTGTGATGTGAAAGAGTAGGAAGCTTCCAGCCTTTCCTCCACAGGCAAGATGAAGAGCTGGAAATGAACTCACCCTAATCTCTAAATTAACTTAGATAATGCCAGTTCCCATATATCTTTTACTTATCTCAGATGAAAATGAAATTGAGGTGAAAGAAAGCCCAGGCATGCTCTTCAGAAGCTCAAAGCAGAAGAAAAGTTGGTCAAAGAAATTACTACTTCCATTGTGTGTTTCTTTGTATAGATCTAAATAAACACAAAAATAATTATCCTCCTCCTTCTCTCCTTCTTTTCCTCTCTTTAATATTTTTTTTAAAAGTTTTACCACACTTCTTTGCCAATTAGAGCCACAGCATCTAAGCCCTAGATAGTCCCTTTTTAAGAGGTCTTCCTGCATGAGCCCTTCTCCTCCCACAGCACATTACATTTCTTCCTTTATGTACGGGTTAACCACATTATTTATGGTCAAATTGGGACACTTTTGAAAGTGAAAGAAGTGTTACAGTAGGTAGTCAGGCAGAGATGAGCAGAGCAAGAGAGGCTTCCCCACTCCCCCGCATGGGAAAGTCAAACAACCGTCAGGTGATGGTCAGGCAGTTGTCAATTGTCTCTCTAAAACAATCATTGGTTGCAACCCATGCAGGGAAAGGCAGTCTCTCAATAGAAACACCTGAAACTGGTGATCAGCAGCTTCCCAGTAAGATCTCAGGAGCTGGGCAAGTGGGCTGACACCTGTAAACTAAGAGGCAAAATGGCAGAGTTTAACTGGATATGACCTTATGGGAACGCTCGACTGATAAGGGAAGAATGCTTCAAGTGAGCATGCGCACAACTCCAGTAAACACACGGCACCTCCCCTCCCAAGAGCTGGGAGGTCACTGCTCATGCAGACAGGCTGCCCTAAGGAAAGGCTCAGGGGAGAAGAGGCACAACTCCTCAGAAACGTGCCAACATATAAAACCCCAAGTCAGAAGTCAAATAGCGCTCTTGAGCTCTCAAGTTGCCCACGTGGCCCTCTTGCAAGGGTGCTTTATTTCCTTTTGTTCCTGTTCTGAAGCTGTTTAATAAGCTTTCACTCCTGCTCTCAAACTTGCCTCGGTCTCTTACTCTGCTATAGGCCCCTCAGTTGAATGCTTTCTTCTGAGGAGGCGAGAGCTGAGGTTGCTGCAGACCCATACAAATTTGCTGCCACTAACAGGAGTGCTGTTAATGATTACTCTGGGACAGGAATACATAGCGGGGGCGATTGCAGGCAAACTGACACTTAACATTCACCCCACTTCCAGGTACCCATTCAGCTGATTCAATGCTGGTTTCCACTTGCTGACCTGCTGCTTTTGGAGTCCTTCTCAAGTTGCTTCTTATGCGTCAACTGGGTGGCAAACTCAGTGGCCTCTCCTCTAGGATTCCCCTCCCTTTCACACATAGGCAACATCTCAGCAAATGCTTTTCTTTCTCAAGGTCAAGGGAAAACATTCAAAACATCTCTTGTGAAAGTTATGTATTTAAAAGGCTGAAACCTGAAAAGAAGAGTACTGGTGTACATGAAAAATCTCTCTCTGGATAAATGCTTGAGGAGACGGATACCCCATTCTCTGTGATGTGCTTATGTCACATTGCATGCCTGTATCGAAACACCTCTTGGAACCTAGAAATATATACAGCTACTACATACCCACAAAAATTAGAAGTTAAAAATTTTAAAAAAAAGAAAAACCTCTCTCCTACTGGTCTGCTTGGTTCTGATCCTGGTTCTTTGGCAAAGCTTTTTTTACTTCTGCTTTTTTTTGGCAACTAGGTAGAACTTCAGGTAAAATAAAACAAATAAAAATGTATTGTGAAATATACAATATATGCAAAGGAGACTATGAAACGTTTATGTGCCATTTAAAGAATAACACTTAAGAACTAGAATATTGCCAGTATTTCAGAACCACCTTCCTCACCTAGTAAATCTCCATGATCATGTCCTCCTTCCCCTTGACAGAGGTGACAGCTCTCTTTAATTTTCTGTCCATTATTACCAGTTCTGCTTTTCAGTTTTTCACACTTGTGTGTATCCCTACAAAAGATCTCTGCTTTTTAGGGGGTCAGAGGGTGATTTCATGTAATAAGGAAAGAAAACTGTCATTCTTCTAAGAGCAAATTGTTCTTTTTAGAGAAAAAAAATTACTAAAACCTGATGTGCTTTCCAAATACTTAACCAACACATCACACATCAACACATGTGGAAGGGAAGAGGCTTAGGGAAAATCCTCAGCACTCACACTCCACTTCTAGGGCTCTGTCTTTGTGTTCCATTTCCGTATGGATGAAAAGCCAGCTTCCATTGTTCGGAATTTACATGAACAACTAATGTCCCCGAGGAAGTGGTGACTGATGTGGGATTTCCAACTTGTGGCAATTCTGCAGGCAGAGACCATGTTAGGCAAAACTGCCAACTATGTGAAGTATGTTGACAGTGGCACTCACTAAATTCCTATCCTCTGAGCCTCTGTGCCCACCTGGGGAGCCAGTGCGCTCTCTCATTTTCTATCATCTTGTTCATTCAAACCTTAAAACTAATCCATCACATTGATGAAGCTTAAGATAGGGCTTTGTAATCATTTCCCACCCAAATGGTCCAGCGGTAAAGGATAAGGGTATTTCGAGGGGTTTCTGGACATGAGAAGGCCATGGTAAGTATAGATTTGTTTATTTTCATTGTGGAGTATATCACACGTACACAGAAGAAACTAAAATACAACTGCACTCTAAGGAATAGTGATAGGCCGGGCGCGGTGGTCATGCCTGTAATCCCAGCACTTTGGGAGGCTGAGGCGGGCGGATCACAAAGTCAAGAGATCGAGACCATCCTGGCTAACATGGTGAAACCCTGTCTCTACTTAAAAAATACAAAAAATTAGCTGGGCATGGTGGCGGGCACCTGTAGTCCCAGCTACTTGGGAGGCTGAGGCAGGAGAATGGCGTGAACCTGGGAGGCGGAGCTTGCAGTGAGCCGAGATCGTGCCACTGCACTCCAGCCTGGGTGAGAGAGCGAGACTCTGTCTCAAAAAAAAAAAAAAAGAATATTGATAGAATGAACACCCACATGCCCAACACTGAGCTTTAGAAATGGAATATATGCCACACCTTAAATCTTTCTGGGTAAACCTCAAAGACTGCTTCTCCCGCCCCTCATCAGAGGTAACCACTGTCCTGAATTTTGTGTTCACCATTTCCTGCTTTTCTTTATGGTTTTAACACACGTGTATATAACCCAAAACAAAATATAGTTTAGTTTTTTCTTTGGGGGGAATGTATATAAATTGAAATTTTTTATTTATATTTTCTTGGGACTTGCTCCTCTTGCTCAAAATTATGTTTTGGGAAGTCATCCTGTTTATGCCTGTGCCTGTAGCTCACTAAACTTTCACCGTTGCACAATAATCCTTCCTATGAATTTATTTACTCTCCTTTTTTGTCTTTGAGACAGAGTCTGACTTGTCACTGGGCTGGAGTGCTGTGATGCTGCTATCACGGCTCACTGCAGCCTTGACTTCTTGGGCTCAAGCCATCCTCCCACCTCAGCCTCCCCAGTAGCTGGGACTACAGGTGCATGTTACCACGCCTGGCTAATTTTTTTTTTTTTTTTTTTTTTTTTGAGACGGAGTCTCACTCTGTTGCCCAGGCTGGAGTGTAGTGGCGCGATCTCTGCTCACTGCAAGCTCTGCCTCCTGGGTTCACGCCATTCTCCTGCCTCAGCCTCCCCAGTAGCTGGGACTACAGGCGCCCGCCACTACGCCTGGCTAATTTTTGTATTTTTAGTAGAGAAGGGGTTTCACCTTGTTAGCCAGGATGGTCTCGATTTCCTGACCTCGTGATCTGCCTGCCTTGGCCTCCCAAAGTGCTGGGATTACAGGCGTGAGCCACCGCGCCCGGCCACGCCTGGCTAATTTTTGTATTTTTTGTAAATATGGGTTTTTTGCCATGTTGACCAGGCTGATCTCGAACTCTTGGCCTCAAATGATCCGCTGGCCTTGGCCTCCCAAAGTGCTAGGATTAGAGGTATGAGCCACTGCATCCAGCCAGTTGTAGTACATATTTAAACTCCCACCAGATGTAGATGAGAATTCTCATTGCTCAACATCCTCTTAATGTGCTACTGTCTGGTTTTACTCCCAGTCTGGTGGGTGTGAATTGCAGTATCACAAAACTTCACTGTGATTTGTATTTGTACTTCTCTGATTAATGATGAAGCTGAGTTTCTTTCCATGTGTTTATGGGCCATGTATGTTTCCTTTTCTTTGGAATTCCTTTTTTGGGTCTTTTGCCCATTTTTCTATTGGGTCATTTCTCTGTTTCTTAATAATTGCTTGGAGCTCTTTAAATAGTCAAATTAGGAGTAGTGATAGATAAAAATATTAACTACATTTTATTTACTTTTATATATGTGATTTGTTTATATTTGCTGCTCCATAGTTAATTATTTCACCCTTTTGACAAAGAAGGGTTTTTAGTTTTAAAATAATTGAATTCTTCAATTTTCTTCTAGAGTTGTGCATTTTAAATTTTGTTTATAGATACTATCCTACATGCTTTTTTGGGTATTATATGGTTTTGGCTTTTACATTTATGCCTTAATCCTCTTTGAATTTGGTGTTTGTGTATTGTGCATTAGTTGAATAGTTTTTCTTTTTCTCATTGATCTCAAATACTACCCCCACCATAAATCAAATTTTCATATATCTGTGAATTTGTTTCTAAATGTCCCCTTCTGTCGTTTTGGTCTATTTCTTTATTAATGTGCAATATCACATTGTTAATAAGTTAATAACTATAGTTTTACAATGTTTCAATATGTAATGGGACAAACTCCTTGTTTTTCTTCCTTGGGAACATGTTGGCCATCCATTACCCTTTACTCTTTATAGAAATTTCAAAATCAACTTGCCATGTTCCATGGAAAAACCTGTTGGAGTTATCATAATTACATTTATGTTTATGTCCATTAGAAGAGAATGGACAACTTTATGATATGAATCGTTTTATCCAGGAACATGGTATATTTTTCCATAATTGAGTTCTTTACTGAACTTCAAAAAAGCTCTCTCCTTCTTCTCTATTGGTGTCCTGCATGCCTTTTCTTAGATTTATTCCTGTGTGTTTATGTATTTTATATAATTTATGACTTTTGTAAAAGATATCTTAAAGTACATTTTCTATCTGAATTTTTTGATATATATATAAAATTGCTTTTGTTTATTCACTAATTTGTCAATTTTCTTAATTTATTTATTTGCTGATATTTATCTGTTTAAACAATATCACCTGTTAATAATGAGAGGTTGAGCTGGGTGTGATGGCTCATGCTTGTAATCCCAGCACTCTGGGAGGCTGAGGTGGAAGGATTGCTTGAGTCCAGGAGTTAGAGACCAGCCTGGGTAACATATGGAGATCCCTGTCCTTACAAAAATAAACAGTAGCCAGGCACGGTGGCATATGCCTGGGGTCCCAGCTACTTGGGAGGCTGAGGTGGGAGAATCGCTTGAGCCCAGAAGCAAGGCTGCAGTAAGCTACGATGGCACCACTCCATTCCAGCCTGGGCCACAGAGTGAGATCTTGTCTCAAATAATAATAATAATAATATAGCAACAAGAAGAAGTTGATTTCTTTCCTAGTAATTCTTAGAACTTCTCTTTTTCTTGTTTTGTCTTGATAGTTGAGACTTCAACTGCAGTGTGAAAAAGAAGTTGTAAGACTGGTCATCCTTGTCTTGTTCATGATCTTAAAAAGAATACTTGTAACTTTTACTATTATATATCGTATTTGCCCTAGAGTTTTGTAGGTCTTCTTTATGAAGTTAAAGACATTTCCTTTCTAAGTCTTTTTACTCATTTTCTTTCTACTTTTATGAAAGTATTATCATTAATGTTTATTGATTTTATTGAACATCTTTTTTGCAACTATAGATGTAATTATATGGTTTAATCTCTTTTAACTTGTTAAAGTAGTGAATTACAATAATCCTGATCTGTAGTTTTCCTATTTTGTTCTGTCCTTGGCTAGCATTTATATCAAGGTTATACAACTCTCATAAAATATGCTTGGAAGTGTTCCTTTTTTTCTGTTCTTGAATTTATGTAAGAAATATTTGGTAGCATGAGTAAACTCTTCTGGCACATTATTTCCTGTGTGACAAGATTTTTAACTACAGATTGAATTAGATTTTACTATACAGGGGATTTCTAGTTTTTCTTAAGTTATTTTTATGTAATATTTTCTACAAATACATATATTTCATCTGTTCACAACTTGTTGGCCTAAAGTTGTTCATAATATTCTTTTTTTTTCCTTTCTAATATCTATGGAAAGAATAAGTATCTTCTCTCTTTTATGCCTAATGCTATTTGTTTTCATATTTTTTCCTTTTTGGGGGGTAAATATCACCAGACATTTATCGCTTTAAGGAACAATTTTTAGCTTTTTGAAATTTTACTTTCTGTTTTATTTGTTTTTGTACTTATTTCTATTATCTTTTTTTCCCTTTCTTTGGGTTTATTGTGCAGTTCTTTTTCAATTGTTTTAGGTTGGGTATTTAGTTCACTCAATTTTAAGACTTTCCTCTTTTCTAATGTAAGAACTATAAACAATTTTTTTCTCTGATAACTGCTATTGTTGCCTCCTATAATTTTTAAATATAGCTTTTTGTTAAGTGAGAGGGATGGGGTCTTGCTATGTTACTCAAGCTGGACATGAACCTCTGGGCTCAGGCAATCCTCCTGTCACAGCCACCTGAGTAGCTGGGACTACAGGCATGCACCACCATGCCAAGCCTAAAGATAGCATTTTTCTTAACTCTAACTGCATAAACATTGAATAAATAAAGCAGTTTGCCCAGGTATTTATTTACATAATCTGATAATGTGTTGAGAGCATTAGGGCATAGAGTACAGTTTTCATAATTTCTAATGTACTTTTAAAAAAACTTAGATACACCTCAAATAAATAACTCCATAATTTCCTTTCCCTCTCATGTATACATACCTTAACAGGGTAAAAAATAAAATTAGCACGTTTAAAATCAGAAAACGTTCTTACGCAAGGCCCATGGCCTTTTGTATTTATGCTACCTGAAACAGAGAAGACTGAACATTGTAGGTATAGCTAGAAAAACCAAGACTGAATGTGCTTTTAGTTCATCCTCTTTCCAATTAGACACTTCCTCCTTTGCAGGTGGATCCTTTTAGGGGCCCTAGTTTTGGAGCCCAAGAGCTTGGTTTGTTTTAGACTCAACTTCTTAATCAAATGTATCTTTGGCATGTCATTTAACGACTTTACAGGCCGGGCGAGGTGGCTCACGCCTGTAATCCCAGCACTCTGGGAGTCTGAGGCGGGTGGATCACCTGAGGTCAGGAGTTCGAGACCAGTCTGGCCAATATGGTGAAACCCCGTCTCTACTAAAAATATAAAAATTAGCTGGGTGTGGTGGTGGGTGCCTGTAATCCCAGCTACTCGGGAGGCTGAGGCAGGAGAATCGCTTGAACCCGGGAGGTGGAGTTTGCAGTGAGCTGAGAGATCATGCCACTGCACTCCAGCCTGGGCAACAGAGCAAGACTCTGTCTCAAAAAAAAAAAAAAAAAGACTTTACAAACTTCAGTTTCCTTATTTGTTCATTAAAAAATCATAATATCAAATTCCTAGAATTTTTCTAAGGATTTAATAAATGTGAAAAAAGTATTAAAAATAATACTTTATATTTACAAAGTAAATAATTATTAATTATTTTTCTCCCTATAGCAGTATTTCTCCTCAAATTTTCATACTTTGTTTTTTTTTTTTCCTCCTTTGTTTTTCTACTTTCCTACTTCTCCTAGGAAGCTTTCACTTTCCCTCTCTAAATGTTACCGGAAAGGGGTAACAGACCACGAGACAGGGTTCTTGGATCTTGCGCAAGAAAGGATTTGAGGTGAATCCATAGAGTAAAGTGAAAGCAAGTTTATTAAAAAAGTAAAGGAATAAAAGAATGGCGTACAGAAGCAGAGCAGCTCTGAGAGCTACTGGTTGTCCATTTTTATGGTTATATCTTGATGATATGCTAAGCAAGGCGTGGGTTATTCATGCCTCCCCTTTTTAAACCCTATAGGGTAACTTCATGATGTTGCCATGGCATTTGTAAACTATCACAGTGCTGGTGGGAGTGTAGCAGTGAGGACAACCAGAAGTCACTCTTGTCTTGACTGGGTGGGTTTTGGCAGGCTTTTTTTACTGCAACCTGTTTTATCAGCAATGTCTTTATGACCTGTATTTTGTGCGACCTCCGATCTCATCCTATGACTTAGAATGCCTAACTTAGTAGGAATGCAGCCCAGCAAGTATCAGCCTTATTTTACCCAGCTCCTATTCGAGATGGAGTTGCTCTGGTTCAAACACCTCTGAGTCTTCTGACTTACAGGCCGAGTGTTAGAGATTCAATCTTCATAGATGGGAAATCCCCTAGAGATCAATTACATATTTAAAGCACCTCTTTTTGCAGAGGAAAAACAAAGGGGCAGGGAATGATTATCCCAATGTCTGTCACTGGGGGAGGTAAAATTTCCTAGGAGTTAATGGGAGAGTCAAGACCAAAACACAGGTTTCAGGACTCTTCTTACCTGATGAGTGGAACTTTTAATTTTTATTTAGTTAAGTGTTTTGGCCAGTAATTAGCAACCCTTTATGAGGTAGTTATGCCTATAAGACATCCAACAATGGTCCTCTATTGAGTCTACTAGAAAAAAATAACAGTTTTATTAAAAGGCTTGATAACTATGTGATGTTAGTCCAGAGTACCTATGAAGTGATGAACCTCAAGATGCCTATGAATTTAGAAATAAAATAAAATTCAGTCAATAAAATACAACGCTACATTGCAAAGCCAGATCTTCAAAAGCCAGTATGGGGCACAGAACGTGGTAACTGGATAAAAAGTATTTCATTGTTGTTATTTATTTTGTCATCCTTGAGGAAACAGTCCCTAATGGCAAGTCACTTGACTTATAAACTAACAGACTTCATTAAATCGATATTGATTGATTTGACATCAGCAGTCACTCACTGAGGTTCATTCAGTCCACGCATCTGAAAACACTGGGGGATCATGCTTGCCCCTAAGGTGCCGTGACTTTGGTACACAACACCTAAATGTCTCCAGAAAGTTCACAGATGCCTGGCTAGCCGCCATCACTCCGAGTGCAAAGGATGCCCAGTGCCCAGCTGATTCCATCACGACAGCGTCCTTAACAATAGCTGTGGACTATTGCTTGTTTAACCTAGCTTCAGGGACCAACATCATTCGTGGAGAGGGAGCGAGCAGGAGTCTGGTCAGTCACGTCCAGCCTTGGCGCCTAAAATTAGGCAGGGCTGTGGAGTAACATGAGCGGTTTGGGCGTCCACTGTCCGGCTCCAGTATCCCCGAGTCCAGAGGCAACAGGAGTCTCTAGTCATTATGCATGTAGAGAAATCAAAGAATTCGAGAGCAAGGGCCTGGAATGCCTGGCTGCCTCCCAGCTCTCTTACGAAGAAATAAATTCCATTGTTGTCTCACTCTCCTTTCCGTACTCTCAGAATCAGCAGTTACTGTACGCCAGCACCTTTCACTCTCCAAGGAGACTGCTCAGCTACAGCAGGAAGCACAGGGATCTTAAAACATAAACTCACAGTGCTCCCCACATTGATCTCCCACACAAACCCATCTCTCCTGTCAGGGACTGTGGGCTTCGTGACTTTCTCCATGTGCTGGACTGTCGCATGGTCACTGTTGCCAGGGACTCTTTGAACTAATCCCAAGCCTATGTCAGAAAAGCCTGTGATCGATTCCCAGTGCCATCCTGAACCACAAGATTGGAATATCGCACCTTTCAACTGCCTGGGCTGATAAACAATACAGCATGTACTCAGCTTCATAAACACTCTGCCTTGTTACAAAGGGCATTGCAAACTCGCCGTGATAGGACTTGACCTTAAAAGCTATAGACAATCTAGCGGAGCACAGACGGTTTCATAAAGTACAATCACTTCCTGGAATTCTTGGGCCAGTGCAGTCGGAGCCGTGCAAATCCTGTTTTCCTTGCATTGTTTCCTGCATGTGAATATCATCAGTCTAGCAGGTCTGTAACCATGGCACTTGTAAATAGCCGAGGGGCGACTTCTGATAAAGGCATACAGTTTTAAGAAGCTTTTTTTTTAAGACAAGCCTAAGTCAAGCTCTACAAATGCCATATAGTAACAACCAAGTCGACAAATTGCATTTTCTAAAGCACATATATCCAGATCCAGATTTGTTTTTAAATCACCAAGGGAAGCAGAATCGATGCCCATTGTATTGAGGGTACCGTGAGTTGTTTTTCACTTGTTGTAATGTGAATTTCCACGCCAAATCCATAGAGATGGACACTGACTACAATTGCTAGCAATTCTTTCCACAGTATGTTTCCTTTTCCACTGAATGGGGTTGGGAAATTTTAATTGCTCCATCCTTCAGTTTCTCCAATCAGCAAGAGGAAGAGAAAACACCAGTTATTTCTTGGAATGCTCAGTTTAAAACTTTCTCTTCAAAAGTTTGACACCACTCTTCCTACTCCAACTTTATTTGGTGCTTGACAGGCTCTTATTTAAGCTTTGAGATGATATGGTGAATGAAACGTGTGGTCTCAGCTACTCAGGAGGCTGAGGTAGGAGGATCACTTGAGTCCGGGAGGCGGAGGCTGTTGTGAGCTATGGTTGCACCACTGAACTCCAGCCTGGGCAACAGAGCGAGACCCCCACCTCAAAAAAAAAAAAAACAAAACAAAACAGGGAGACACAAACAAATAGACTGCTTTAAGTTTCTGGAAAATCCAAAGATGTTTACTAGATTTGCTGCAAATGCCTCAGTATGTAAAGTTTGAATTGGCTGAATCAATCCTGATTCTTCCGCTTTCTATATTATTGAATTGTTGGTTAAACTGACAATAAAAGTTAAAATTCTTAGCAGATGTAAAATGTGATGGATATTGGGCGAAGTGTCGACAAAAGTGTTTTAGGCTGAGAAGGATATCCTTGGGAGAGAAAGAAAAGAAGAGACCACTCATACAATAGTATGAGACTATTGCTTATGTTTTCATAGACTTATGTTTAATTTTTTAAGATTCAGAAGTCTTTCTGAAACTTTATTTTCTCTCTCTCTCTTTTTTTTTGAGATGGGGTCTCTCTCTCTCTCTTTTTTTGAGATGGAGTCTCTCTCTCTCTCTCTCTCTCTCTCTCTCTAGCTTGGGCTGGAGTGCAGTGGTGCAATCATAGCTCACTTCAGCCTCAATCTTCCAGGCTCAAGTGATCTTCCCGCCTTGCCTCCTAAAGTGCTGGGATTATAGGCATTAGCCACAGTGCCTGGCATATTTCTATTTCTGAATTTTAAATTAAAATCAGTAACATCTGACCAATATCTTCACTTGAGTATCAAGGACAAGTTTGACGCCTTTGGGAGAAATTATGTCTTCTATTATGCCAACACATTACACGTGGTAAGCACTAAAAGTTTTAGGATAGTAATTAACAAAATATACCTCAGTTTAATGCTTTCTCTTAAAATAATGCTTTCTCTTAAAATATTTTTGATGAGTTGTTTTTCTCATATCTTATAATGATGATCTGCTTTCAAATCTTCACTTTCCATGAAACTACTCTGTGTTTCAGGTGTCATCTAACTTTTTTTTTTTTTTTGACAGTCTCTCTCTGTCACCAGGCTGGAGTACAGTGGGGCAATCTCGGCTCACTGCAACCTCTGCCTCCCGGGTTCAAGCGATTCTCCTGCCTCAGCCTCCCGAGTAGCTGGGACTGTAGGTGCACGCCACCATGAGCAGTTATTTTTTGTCTTTTTAGTAGAGACGAGGTTTCACTATGTTGGCCAGGCTGGTCTTGATCTCTTGACCTCGTGATCTGCTGGCCTCAGCCTTCCAAAGTGCTGGGACTATAGCCGTGAGCCACCATGCCAGGCCCATCTAACTTTTAATATAGATTGTATGATGTTTTCATAAAACAAGCAGGGCTCAGAAAGGCCGTATAAAGCCACAGAGCCAGCAAGCAGCAGAGTCTGCATTTTAATCCATATGTTCATGGCTTCAAAGCAATGTTATTTAACTCTAACAATGCAATTGAACTAACAACTGACATCAGACACAAATATTCTGAAGAACCTGGAGAAATAGAAAAGAATTGGATAGAACTGATGGCTCATGGGCAGAAGCTGTGCATCAGGAAGAGGAAATAAATGGCATTGTTCAGCCATGAAGCCATATAATTTCAACCTGACTTTCCTTCTCTATTGTCCTGTCTCATTGTCTAGCTTGAAATGTGGCCGCAGTCATGTCAAGTGGCTAACTTCCTGCATATTTGGTTTCCTCATGGGAGCTTAGTAATTCCTGATTGATTTAGAGCAAGAAAGTAAAATAAATTCTAGTTTTTCCAACTTCCATGCCATGGAAGTGAAAATGTATTTTCACATTGATGTCTTTAACCACTTCCCCTGCACGAACTAGTGATATGATGCCAATTCTCAAAGGATCTGACTTCTCTTTGCATTTACATAAGTTCTCCGAGCTCAAGGGTAAGGTAATGTACACTTCCCCTGGCAGCCAGCAGGCTCAGAGGCATTCTCTGTTGGTTAAAACCACTTCTCTGGGTCCCATTACCATATTGCCTGCAACCTAATAATGCCACGCCAAATTTGGCCTTCTGATAAGCAAGAGTAACTTCCTCTATAGCCAGAGGGAGGCACATAGCATGACTTTGGAGCCAGACATAGCTTTATATATTATATTTACTTTAGGGGGCAATTCATTTACGGGCACAGGCAGGGACATAAATACCTCCTTTTCATGAGGGTCCCAGAGGGACAGCAGGCATACAATGTCACTTCATACCACACAAACAATACAACATAGAAGACTCCTCCTAGCATAATAAACAAGCCACAGTCACCGTGTTCTTGACATTGACAATGCTTTTTAAAGTTAGATCAAAAAGGTGCTTGGGCTTTTTAAACATGTTTTTAAACTTGGTGTCTGTCTGGACAGGGCAAAAAGTCCTCTCCATCTGTTGGATGCAATAGACCTGGAAGTCGCGTGATTTAAATAAATTGTGCTTGCAGCATTTTGAAGGTATTTTTCCTTAGGAGCTGCATGGTAAAAAGAAATTATTTGGGGTTTTCGTTCTGTCCACAATGTTTAATCAAGTATAGTTTATATTACTTTTCTTTTGATAATTAGACAAAGCCTGGTAGAACAGAGAGCAATCCAATAAAGAAGTGAAATTTCAGCTTACATTTTTCAGAGGATCACTGAATACATCTAAGATTTACAATTTTAATTATTGGCTATAACTATTAACTTGTAATTAATTATATAAAGTATTTTGATATTTTGATAGGTTTCTTAGGAGTTTTATTTTTCTTTTTTAAGGGAGGCAGTAACTAACTTCTCTTTTAAAAGAAAATTAGCTTAAACATCAATTGGAAGTTAAGGCCAATATTAGAGAAACATCAAATTACTTCCAAAAATCAACCAGTCTGTCTCCTTGTGTCTGTCCTGCGTTTTGAAAGTGTGAAAAACCAATAATAGAAATTTTTCTCCAAAATAAATTAAATATCATTTACCCAGGAACAGGAACAAAAAGTTTCTCAGTCCTAAGAATGTAGTCATCAACATATGTCTCTCTGTATAAATGTATGCCTGTTTAGAAGAAACAAAATATTCTTCAGACAATATCTACTTATACTCATTAACAATTTATTTACCAAGAGTATGCACTCTTTCTTACTAGAGTAATACTGAGTAAGGAAAAGGAATTCAGACCTGTATCCAGCCAACATGGGTATTATTGTCTCTAACCAGTCATATCCATGTTAGAGATTGTCTGGTTAGAGTTAGAGCAGGGACTCATATATGACTGGGACACAAACTGAGATAGATAAATCCCAAAGATAGACATGGATAAATTGCTAAGGGAGGCCCTATTTGAATTTCAATAGACTCAAATGTTAACTCCTGCCATCACAAGCAGAACAAAACATTGTATGCTCAGATACCAGAGTGTTTAATTCATCAGCGGCTCTGTTGATCCATGTGTTGTATGGGATCTCCAAGATGTTCACTTTAGTAACCTACCTGCTCATGGAAACAACCAAACTTCAGTTTAAGTATGGCTTATCTCTTTACTCATGATTGGCATTTGGAGCTTCTTTTTTTTTTTGAGATGGAATCTTGTTCTGTTGCCCAAGATGAAGTGCAGTGGCAAAATCTCTGCTCACTGCAGCCTCCACCTTCCTGGTTCAAGCGATTCTCCTGCCTCAGCCTCCCGAGTAGCTGGGATTACAGGCGCGCACCAGCACGCCCAGCTAATTTTTGTATTTTTAGTAGGGATGGGGGTTTCACCGTGTTGGCCAGGCTGGTCTCCAACTCCTGACCTCAATTGATAACACCCGCCTCGGCCTCCCAAAGTGCTGGCATTGCAGGCGTGAGCGACTGTGCCTGGCCTCATTTGGAGCTTCTTGTAGACTTCTGAGAAATGATTTACCTCAGTTGAAGGAAGATGGATTGCATGTCACAGGCAAAGTGTGTTTGGACAAGCTGTGTGAGAGTTTTCATGGCTAGCAAATACATTGTCCCACAAAAGGACATAAAAAAAAATATCTCACTCTAACACTAAGAAATACCACAATTGATGTCATAGTTTTTAAATAACAATTTGTATAGCTGTGGTCTTGACCCACAACAGTCAGTTCTATCCAAATACCTTGCAAGACTTGTTTCCAACCGTCTCTATAAACAGTGAGAGCATCATCCAGTGTCCTGAGGTAGTTGATTTAAGCTCAGAGGCGGGCCTCGCTCTCTTGAAAGAAGCTAAAGGATATTTCTCCTAATGCTGGCAGGGAAGAAGAATTATCAGTTTACTCCACAACATTGACCAGCTCAAATCACACAAAAACAGAAACTTTCCATGGTTTCCAAGCTGTGGCGTTTTCTAATAGACTTTTCTGCCTATCAGTAATTCTTTCCAAGAGGTTGGAAAGATTCTTTTTAAATTTATCTTTAAAGCAAAGGTAGAGCACCCTTTGGAAATCATAGGTTGTTTATGGTGTCCTTGCTGTACTGTGAAATAGTCAGGGGCAGTAAGAGTTTCGGTTGTGGCTGGGGAAGAGTCTATCTCCTCACCATCCCCCATCCCCCATACCCATCTGCCCTTCTTAGGGATTTTATTCCATCAGTGGTGGGAAGGATCATCTTCAAAGTCAGTGAGAAAAATGGCATTCACTAGAGATGTTAGAATTTGGAAAGAGTGGCCAGGCCCTGTGGCTCATGCCTGTAATCCGAGCACTTTGGTAGGCCGAGGCGAGTGGATCGCTTAAGGCCAGGAGTTTGAGACTAGCCTGGGTAACATAAGGAGACCCCCACCTTAACAAAAAAATTTTTAAAATTAGCCAAGCATGGTGGCCCCTGTGATCTCAGCTACTCAGGAGGGTGAGGTGGGAAGATCTCTTGAGCCTGGGAGGTTGAGACTGCATTAAGCAGTGTTTGCACAACTGCACTCCAGCCTGGGTGACACAGCGAGACCCTGTCTCAAAAAAAATTGCAAAGAGTTACTGGTGGGACCCCAACACCCAATTTGTCAATGGGACCACTTCCAGAGTTTCAGGATTTACTACTCCCAGAATAGAGTTGCAGTTGAATGATACAATATGTGGTAATTTATCAATAATATGATTAGTACCATTTCAACCAAGGTCCAAAAAATTCAATGGAGATTTATATGAGACAGATGTTCCCTGAGATAATTCCTGCCAATAAACACAAATGGGGCTCCAAAGAGCACCCATAAACAGGGTAAGAATTAAATAACAAAAACCGGAGACAATGGAAGGATTATGAATATTCTGATGTACCATCTTTTTTTTCTGAAAGGCTTTGTATATTATTCATTTTTTTTCTTTAAGAACAATAAATAATATTGATGACTTGTTTCTGACTCTCTTGGTCAAGTAAAAGAAGTCAAAAGAATTCTAGTAGTGGCAGGGTGACCGAGTCTATTCTATATAGTGTCATTAAAATAATTGCTATTTGCAAGCTGACAAATTGTACCAAGATTCCCTAGGTTTTGTTTTTCTTTGAACCACATTTGGAACAAGAATAAACAAATCTCACTGCAAGGTGATGAATTGGATTTAGTCCTGGTTGATTCAGGCCTGGGCGATGGTTCTGAAATTCTTGTCTATGAGTCTGAACCTGTTGAGTCATTGAAAATCAGCAGTACTAGGGTGCGCTATGCTGGTGTAGTGCAAACCCAAAGCCATTAAAGGACGTAACACAATAAAATATTATGCTCTGGGTTGCCCAGGGGATGAGCAAACCTCAGAATGCCCAGACATGCACCTAAAATTAGGAGGGGTCTTCACATTCTTTAACAATGCCAATTCTCCTATTGTTGAGAAACACAAATTGGTGAATATTTCTGGATGGGTTTTCTCAAGCTGACAAGTGATTTTCTGGCTCTTTGTTAGAGAGAGAGAAAAAGGAGAGAGAGAGAGAGAAAGAATTGCCCTAAGGATAAACTATTGGGCTCAAAATCCAAAGTAGACTTAAGATGATTAATGTAAATTTTCTTGACTTCATTTATTTATTTGTAATAATGTTGTCATCTTTGTTCAATGGGATTCTTAGAAGTTTGTGGCATATGGCTTAAGTTACACTTGAATAACCTGACCTATACCTTCAAAATCTTGCACATGCACATTTTGGAAATTTTAATGAGTCAAATGTCAATGATTTTTTTTAGCAGCCAGTCCTTAACATGAAACACATAAAACACAAAATTTACTTTCAAAAAGTCAATTTCATACTCATCTGCAGCTTAGGATTAAATCACTCATATGAGGCAAGTAAACTCAGAGAATGATTCACTTTACAAGGGTTCTGCAGGAGGAAGCCTAAGACATGTTTGCCTTGAAAAAATAATACATCTCAGTTGTTTATCAACCTAAAATTCTGGGCACATTTTACACTAAAATAGAGAGGAGTAGGATTTCATTTTTTCTCTAATCAATTTCCTTCACAGAAGCAATAAAAATCAGACCCAAATATGCAAGGAGACTCAACAGTCGATGTCATTCAGTGCCTCTTTTCACTATGAAATAGATAATATTTTGTTACCTTAAGGAGATTACAGTGCTATCTGCTTCTTCTCCTGTTCCTCTTTCTCCTCCTCTTTCCTTTTTCTGGGGATGGGGATGTGAGATTTGGGAGAAGGTTAACTGAATGGCATATGATGAGGGACAATTTTAAGACATTTCAAACCCTTGTGTCTCTCAGGCAAATAAACAGCCCTATTTTTGTCTAAAGAGTGTGGGTTAGGGTCTGCAACCTGCCCTTGCGCAGCAATGGAGGGAAAGGAGAGTGACAGTTTCAGGGAGCTCAACTCACCCAGGAGGGGCAAAACGTTCTTTGTGAATTCCTTCAAATCACTGAAGCTGCCTGTCAGATTGCATCTGAGTGTTCTAGCATATCCCTGGGAGCCGCAGGCCATCCCTTGCTGCGAGGGTCCTGCGTCATTCTGAGCAGCAGTGCCTGGAATGCAGGCCCGCTGACTTTGAGGAGTGTCAGTAGGCTCCTTTCCCCAGAAGCCACACATGACCTGGGGCAGACAGCCTCTGAAAGCTAAGACTGGGAGCTGCTGGACATAGAGGAAGAATAAGACAGAAAGGAAGGAGGGAGGGAAAAGAGAAAGGAGGAACATAGGGTAATAAGCAGAAGGAGATTAAGGAATAACAGAACATTTTGTTGTCAGGAATGAAACCTATCTCCATGCCCACCCCCTAAGATTTGTTTACCCAGGTATTACTGCATACCTATAGCTATACACATACCCAGACACAGCCATACCTGTACATATACACATAACTATAGCTATACACGTACACACAGACACACGCACACCCATACCCACACATACACATATACATATACCTGTAGCCATGCACATGCACTGACATATGGCCATAAACATGCCAATAAACATGCACACAGCCATACACATACATACATGCATGTCCATACCCATACACATACACAAACACATACCTGTCCATGTACACATACACAGATGCATAGCCATAGTCCTACACATGTACACACTCATGCCCATACATATACACATAACAGTACACATCCCCATACCTGTACACATTCATAGCTATGTACATATATGCATATTAACCAGAATCATGATATTGTTCTTCTTATCAATAGAAGAATGTCATTACTTTCAGATCATTATACATATATCATTACTTTCAGATCCTCATGCATCATAACTGGAAACTAATAACTCTGTAAACTATAAACTGTGTAACCAGACATGTTTTTCTCAGCACGCATGGCTTCCATTCCCGTTTAGTAGTAAAAGCAGATCAGGGCTAAGTCCTTGTTAGCAAATCATGCTGATTTATTTTTATTTATGTGTTGCGCGTACTGGTTGGAAAGGTATTAAGCCTGTGGGACATTTAGTAGAATATTCTTCAAAATTCTTGAAATTGCTGATTCAGTTAGAGAATTCCACAGGCATGAGTTCTTACATGAACATTGCAGTACAAAGATTAATGACCTAAGCATTTCAGTTTTAGCTTCAAGTCTAAAGGTGGAAAGGGGCCCACTCATAATTAATAAAGTGATGCTGACTCATACAGGCTGGTAGGCTTTTTGCCATAAACAGAATAAGTGTATCAGCTTTAAAAACAAAATTTAGGCCTTGTCTGTTCCAGTTAACTTGGTATACATGAGTTCCATCAATCTCTATTTACTGTGTTAGACATTACAACTGAGGCATTTAAAAATATTTATTTATTCTTTCATTTTAAAATAACAATAAGCAATTCTATTACATGTTAACCTAAGTAACATATTTTTATAAAAAGCTATATTTTCCAAAACAAGAAACAAATTTAGTGAGAAGGGTGGCATCGCTTTATATTTTTGCAAGTCTCTTTAATGTCTGGCTTAACAGAAGACAGCTGGGTTCTCAAATCTGTTTCTGCATTCAATCTGCTGTGTTATGTTGATTTCGTTGAAACGTCTGAAAAAATCCAGTCTCACAGAGATAAGTAGTTGAAAAAGTGAAGAATTTGTAGCCTACCTGAAAGAGCACTGCTGCTGTAGACAGTAGCCTATCAGAATCTCACACCAGTTTCTAGCAAGATTTATATTTTCGATAGATTATTCTAACAGGCCAATGAATTAGAATGAGCGAGACTACCGTTCAGAGGCTATTCTGTATGGCAAGGTGATAGAACTGAAAGGGTTAAGTGACCCATTCATGTTGAAGGTGACAGAAAGAAAAGAGAAGAAGGTGACAGGGAGAGTGGAGGTGGAACACAGGTTTCTGTAGGGGATGACAAAGACTATGATGTTGCCATCAACTGTGGTAAGGATTAGCCTTTGGAAGAGTAAATCTTTGTGAGATAGGAGGAAGGAATAAAGAATTCTATTTTGAATATGTTGAGTGTGAGTTCCTGTTATGCATCCAGATAAAGGTGTTGGGGAGACATTTGATTCCATGAGTCTGAGATACAGGGGAGACGCCCATGCTAAAGACTGGCAATTGCCAGTCATCAGCAAACAAAAAGAGGCTAAATATTTGAGAATGGAATAAGTTCTCCAGAAAGAACAAGTAGAGTGAGGAGTGTGAACAAGAACAGACACTAGGAAACACCAAAGTTAAGGCTGGATGGACAGAGAGAATCTCATGAAGTGACCGAGAATGAGAATAACCAAGAAGCTGTGGTATAACTAAAACCATGAGAGTATAGAATTCACGAAGACTCTGGCTAATGGATTTACAGCAGCAGGAAAATCAAGCAGGATGACGACAGAGATATGGTTATTGGTGTTCGTAGAACAATACCAGTAGAGTGGGTTGGACAAGCATGTGGTATCAACTAGATTGTAGGGGACTGAAGCATAAATTGGAGGTATAAGTAGAAACAGTAGAAATAACTTTTTCCTAGAAATTTGGCCGAAAATAGAATGAGAAGAACAATGCTATAACCAAGCAGAGTCAAGAGAGTTTGATTTAGCACAAAGGAGACTTGAACATGTTTATGGGATAAGGCAATGAAGGTAGTTGCGGGAAGAACTTGAAGACATGGGTTATTAATCATCACAAAATATTCTAGGGGATAAAGGGAAAAAACTATCAAGAGAGCAGGTATTATGTCTCTTTCATTCTCTCTCAAATATCACAGAATATTGATCTTACGGAGAGAACACAGACAAGTTGAAAGGATTAACAGATTCAACAATAAGCAACAACTCATTTCTGTGGTTATTAAAGGACATATTAATAATTTGTTGACATTTAGTAATATGGGATGAGAATCTGGAAATGAGTACTCCACTACAAAAAAGGACAGGCAAGACTGGTAAGTGTGGGGGAGAAGGGGAAAAGATAAAAATTAGCCTAAAAACTACTCCCTTACCCTCCTGCTTACAAGTTGGTGTCTGCTTCTCAGGAAGGAGAGACAGTGTACCAATGACACAGGCAGAGTAAACTGCATGTCGTTCTCATTACAGACAGCAGCTGTGGTTTTCCCCAACAAGCCCCTTTGTTGTCATCAAAAATAACTGATATAAAGAATAAACTCCTTAGGGAACCTTTTCCAAATGGTGCTCCTTGGAACACGAGTGCCTTTTGAAAAATTCATAAGTCATTAAAAATTAAAGGGGGGTGGCCTGCAAGAATACATGGAGTTAAACAAAGTTAAGCAGATTTCTTAACAGAAGACTTGACAGAATCATTACTATAATTACACACATTGGGAAGTTTTCATATGAGTGATATAATAGGCACCATTTCCCAAACTCAATCATTCAAACATTGTGTGCATTGAACACTTACTGATTTACTGATTTATGCTGTAACTGTCACACCAAAGAGGGCAGTTTGGGAAACACTGCTCTAAGGTATTGTTAAACTCAATAATGCGTCCCTGATTATTACTGTCATGATTCTTGTGTCTCGTGAATAGTTACATTAGTAGGTACCCCACTTAAATAACCCAATCTTAAGGCTTATTTCCAAATAAGTGTACTACAACCCATATTCACAAGCCAGTTTTGGTGTTATGTTATGACAGTCTGTTTTTTATTTTATAACAACTATCACCTCTGAAAAAATAGTCCATGGACATCAGAGACTCTTAATAACAATGTTTTGGTTGAAAAGATGATAATAAGATGCTGTGGGGGGATCACAAAAGAGTAAAAAGCACGATCCCTGCTCTTAATGAGCTTAACAGTTGGCTGAGGTAGATAAGAGAATTACATGAAAAATTAAATGATATAAAAGTTACATTGTATTATACAGTAAATAAGAAGCATCATAATTAATCATGACGCATGATTAACTGAGATTAAAAGGTAATAGACAAGGTGGTATTTGTCACATCTAAGGGCATATATTTGTATGAATTGAATCACTACCCACACTCCCAGAAATATATGCACTTCCAAAAATGTGCTGCATCAACTTGGAGCCCCACCAAGACACTAGGCAGGGCTGCTTCTATTGTTTCAGGATACAGACAAGAGTGTTGAGACAAATCTCCTCCTTCCAAATTCAACCAACAGCTGAGAGCACAGCACCCTCCAACTCCCCTTAGAAGACCACAGTCTCCATCCCTAGATTGGAGTGGATCCCAGCAAGTTTACACCAAGGTCTGTTCTGAAGGAGAGACACTATCCCTCAACCTGGATCTCAAGAAGCTGGTCTGACACCCCAACCAGCCATCTGCTAACAGCCAGGCATTCCTGACATGATTGCTTGATGAGTCATTTTCAGAACTCTCAAATTTGTGAAGTGCATTGCTTTATTTCCATCCTCATTTTTCCCCCCAGCTAGAAAAGCTTCCTGATGTCGTTCTTCCTGTAAAAACATGATTAATTTTTAGCCCTTGATTAGATTCAAATTTCTGTAGAGGGCAGTGAACAGGTTGCTTTGTTCTGTCTCCAGCTAAGAACTCAAGGAAAGAAAGCCATTTAATGTCTTTTCTACCTTCGGGAGAATTCTGTGGACTTTGTCCACTGTACCATAGCATTGTAGTCACAGGGATGTGCCCACGGCTTTCAACACAAACTTGCAGCTCTTTGGAAATGGGCCAATAAGAATGCATACTAGAGAGATGGGCTAGGGAGCATTGAAAGATTGTAGACTTTGACTAGCAACTCCATTCTGATAGCTGTTTATCCACATTTTTAACATTTATAAAAATGTATAAAAATATAAAATGGCATTGTTTCTCATTGGGCTAGAAATTTTAGATATTCTAGAACTACCGTGGCATCAACATATATTTAAGACATGATAGGTTTAGACAAAAGTGATTAAACTAAAAGCCATTGGCATATGTAAGCATACGGTTCACTGATCATAATCCAAGCATCTAATTTTAATAAAATATTATCAATTGTGGTTTCAGTAGTCTGTATCATCTCCTGAACATAGTAAAGCCTCCTAAATATATGCCATAAATATCTTTTCCACACAGTTTTTTGATTCATATTTTATTTATTAGATTTATTTGTATCTCATTCTTTTCAAAACGTATTTGTAGTTGACATTACAAATGACACAGTAGGTAGTACAATAAGGAAGTGATAAGCAAATCAGTAAATGCATGCAATTATCAGCAAACAACAGTCATGGAAACCTCAACTGAAATGGACAGCTATGGGAAAATAGAGTGCTATAGATCAATAATATTTTATATTTTTATAATTGGATGAAAACATATAATGATAATATACAGTGGTTGAAATATATATATATCTACATAGATGCATGGACATAGCTTTTATAGTCTATTGTAAATATGTATATTAATACACAAAATAAACACACACATATGTGAAGAAAGAAGGATATAAAAATTATTAGAACTATAGGAAAATAGGAACTAATTGTTAAGCTTTAGTTCATGTTGAACACAGTAGCACAGAAAGCCAATAAGAATTTTGAGGGCATTTTATTTCCCTAATTAGCTTTTCCTGAAGATAGAAAATAAAGTGCTCTAATTTTAAAGAGCAAGAAGTAAAGCAAAGAGTTAGCAATGACCCATGTAAATGTGGATAACAAAACCACTCTCTTCCATTCTTCTCAGGTTTCAATAATTATTATTATTTTGAAATTAGAAGACATTTCAAAAGATACTGACAGGGGTAGGTCCTGAGTGAACAGGAGACAAAAATGTGTGAATTGCTATTATTGCTATTATATTTCATGTATATGCCAGGTTATTGAGTTTTGAAAGGGAATCCATTATCAGGAATGGCAGATAATAGCTTAGCACTAAGCATATCCTCTGGAACATGGTACTGCTCATGGGGAGACATTTGGAGCATCTAGATATCACAATACTAAGAGAGTAATAGCATTTACATAAAGCTAAAAATGCACATATCCAATAAAGTAAATTGGTTTTATACATCATGGGCAGAAAAATTAATAATAGATCTTTGAGAGCCCCAGAATCAATTATTGCCTCCTTGAAAAACCAGATTCATTTTGCCATTATTAAGAGGCAGATGATATGGGACTAGAAGGTAGGAACTTTCAATCAGAACATTGGCTATCTTCCAACATTTAGTACCATGTTTTAAATAATTATGTGCTTATATGATAATTTCTTGAATTGTATTTATATTTAATTTTATTCTTATTTATTTTTATTTTATTTTTTATATTTTATTTTATTATAAGGATCTCCCTCTGTTGCCCAGGCTGGGGTCCAGTGGTGTAATCTCATTTCACTGCAACCTTGACCTCCTGGGCTCAAGTGATCCTCCCACCTCAGTCACTCGAGTAGCTGGGATTACAGGCACATGCCACCACCCTAGGCTAATTTTGTTTAATTTTTTGTAGAGATAGTTCTCACTATGTTGCCCAGCCTAGTCTCTAACTCCTGGCCTTAAGTGATTCTCCCACCTTGGCCTCCCAAAATGCTGGAATTACAGGCATAAGCCTCCGCGCCCAGCATTTCTCAATTTTAAAGTTGTTAATTATTTATTGACATTTTGCTCAGAAAATGAGTGCTTAACATTCTTACATGCTTCTTCATTCCTACCCTAATTATTAATAATTGAATCATGTAGGATACTATGATTTCGTTTCCCTTTTTGTATAGCTGATCATTTTTCCTGTAGTCAATTATTGCTCTGATTTTTAGTTTGCTTGGTTTTCTATGCAGCTAACACAAATTCATCCTTTAACTCACCAATAATCAGTAAAACTCCCTTTCATGTAGTTAAATACATCAGTTAAACCTATCAGTTTCATCTTTTTCCTGAAGTCAATATTCCAGAACCTTCCTCCTCCTGCTCTCACACGAGTTGATTGCCCTCCAGGCCTGCTACACAATATCCTCTTGGAGCAAGCATTTCTTCTCTTCCACTAGGGAATTTCTTTCATTTCTCTCATGTGTTAGATTGCCTGTTACCTGGATCCCACATCTTCCTCTTTCCTGGTGTACTTACTCCTTTGAAAGCTCCTTTAATTAATTTCTGGGAATCCTTCCAGAATGTTCAGCCTAGAGCAGGACTTGGCAAACTGCAGCTTGCAGCACTGATTCATGGCATGTTTTATATAACCCTTGAATTAAAAATGGTTTTTATATTTTTAAGGGGTTGTTAAAAATCAAAAACAAAAATAAAAACAAACAAAAGCAGAATAATATGTGACAGAGGTTGTATGTGACCCATAAAGCCTGAAAAATTTATGATTTTTTTCCTTTACAGAAAATGTTTGCCAACTGCTGGCCTTGAGTCTGCTCTTCAACCCTAGCAGAGATTTTATAAAGATGAATACCCTACACCAAATCCTTTTCTTTGTAAATTAGACTGATTTACATTAGCTACACTGATGTGCCTAGGGTTTTTTCTTTCTTTTTATGATTTTAAATTAATGATTTACTGTCATAAAAGGCTAGTTTTCTATTAAAAGTTTTCTGGAGTCAATTTTGATAACATAGTTTTTTAAAAATGTGTCTTTTTGTCTTGATCCATTCTGCCATGATGCTGTCAATTTTATTAGCATTTATACAGAATAATAATGGCTCTGATAATTTCTCTAATTCATTTTTGCCTTCTATTTTAGTAATTTCAAATTCAGCTTTATCATTTCATTCTTCTCCTTTCTTCCTTGCTGTTCTTTTTTAACTTCCTAATTTGGTTGCTATTTAAATTTTAGCTTTAAAAACTTTCTAATGTAAAGATTTCAGCTCTGTCTCCTAAGCATTGATTTTTTTCAGTGTCTCATGTAATGACATGTTTTTGATGTTGAATCATTCTTTTGAGTACTCACATTCTATTTCTTTGTAGCCATTACCATTTTCTTAAATGCTATTATTAATCTTTTTATTTGTTTAGTTAATGTCTTTCCCCATTAAAATGTAAGCTTCTTAAGAGCAATTTTCTCACCTGCCTTGCTCACTGATACATGCAGAGGCCGCAGAACCCAGTAGACCCTCTAAGATATACAGGAATGATGAGCAATTGCTCTCTTTTCCTTCAAGAGCCAGTCACAATTACTTTCAGATGCTTTTTTTTTTTTTTTTTTTTTTCAGACAGAGTTTCGCTTTTGTCACCCAGGCTGGAGTGCAATGGCGGGATCTCTGCTTACTGCAACCTCCGTCTCCTGAGTTCAAGCAATTCTTCTGCCTCAGCCTCCTGAGTAGCTGGGATTACAGGCACACCATACCCAGCTAATGTTTGTAGTTTTAGTAGAGACAGGGTTTCACCACGTTGGCCACGCTGGTCTTGAACTCCTGACCTCAGGTGATCTGCCTGCCTCGGCCTCCCAAAGTGCTGGGATTACAGGCATACACCACCGCGCCTGGACTCTTTCAGATGTTTTATTCACGTTGAGACATTAATCTATAAATGAGGATAAATTATTACATCAAATTTCCTTTCACTGGGGAGAAGATTAAATACAGTAAAGTGTAGTTACTACAATATGTATTATAATATATAATAGAGGACATATTATTAACTATAGGGCAGCAAACAAGTTCTGATTTTTAAATTCTGCCATAACAATAGAATGTGTAGAAAGAAGCTTAGCGAGGCAATGTATATAGTGGACTAGAAATGTAGTTTGGATTTACTTATTCTGACTTTAGGTGAGTTACTTCATTGCTATGCTTCAGTTGGCAATGGTAACAATAATTATAACCTGCACGTTAGGAATTTTATTAAATTAAATAAGAAATCATTTTAATAGACACCTGATTCAAAATGTCAGTTCCAATTACCTTCCATTCCTTAACATGGTTCAGTCTTTGGGAACTGATGAATTCTGAGACTCAGAAGAATTCACTGCTTTAGCTATATTAATAGTTATAAATGGAGTCACAGTAGATACCTGGCTAATAATATCTTCATGTGTTATTGATTTCCGGAGGTATTTACAATCTATAAGAAAGTGCAATGTGAAGATGAATAATTAGATAATTTATTATAAGATTTAGGCTTTGATCATTGAAGAGAAGAAGGACCTAGAGGGGTCAAGACTTATTTCCCAAGGCCTTGGATTGAATTCAGTTTTCTTTGTACCAAAGTGGAAGTGCAAAATTGGGTACCAAACCCACATACGTGCCGGAATGCAATTATAAATTCTTCAGGAAGATGTTTTCTCCCGTTTATCCAATGCCAAATTCAAGACAGGCAAATTTCCTCAATGTCTTCTTCTATAGGGGAGTGTATTTCTAGTTCGTCTTGATATGTCAGTTTCCAGTTTTTAGCACATTATTTGCTATTTCATTCATGTTTAAAAAGCATCCTTTCTTTAAATGTTGATATGTGCACACCAGTGTCAGAGATCACTATTTTATATTTAACAGCAGGTCCCTTGACAATTTAGAGCACAAAAACCTTAGAAAGCTGATCTGAGCCACGTGTAAATGAGGAAAGTATTAGGTCTGCAGGACGACATTCAGTCACATCCTTCCCCATGGCAATGACCTTCCTTTCTTCATCGGCTGCCTGACCAAGGAGATGTAAAATAACAGGATTGCATGGATGGTTTTTGAGAGCATTGTCATCAAGTTTGACTATCATTATTGAAACAGCTTCCAACTACTAACATCTTTGAGGTGAGACGTGTGAGGGAGAGTGGGTCAGGCTTTCCTTTTTTCCTGCTGGTATTTGTTTTTGCCTCAGATGGTATTCCCTGCTTGGTAATATATGCCTTGACTTTGTGACCTGTCTTCCTGCAATAATTCTTTGGTGGAAAAATCCAGCAATACAGCCAAGAGTTAGTTCTTCCTCTGGCTTCATGTGCCTGGCCCAGAGATAACATCTTGCAGGGTTAGCAAACACATGTAGCTCAGGTTACGGTGTTAGCCACTCAGGACTCCTTCTCGAGCACTAGGCCAATGGGGCATCATTCTGTTTCCAAGTTCAAGACTTCAGTTAATTTATGAATAGTGGAGAGGGACTGTAACTTGGCATGGATAACAATCAATGAGCTGGTGTACCTATGTTCTATAATTTTGGAATGTAAGACAGGGTGGTGCTGCTGGAAGTGAACAGTAGCAGAACTGAGAAAGAAGGGGAAGGATTTAAACTCTCAAAATGTAGACAAATCCATTCACTGAAATTCTCACAGAGACTCTGACAGAGATAATCACACTTAGCCATGACAGAAAATAACATTTGTATCATTTACACCACTGAGAATTTTAGGCAGTAAATAGAATAATTCAAGGCACTAAGTTGTGTTAAGACCTGGGGCATGTTTCAATTCCACCCTGTATTATCTGTAAGGCTGCAGCATATGTCTTGGTTTCTGCATATATAATATTGCCAACTTCGTGGTATTTAAGAATCAAGTTTGACCCTTTGTGCAATGTGGATGCAAAGGTAAAATGGTGCAAATGCTATGGAAAATATGATGGCATGTCCTCAAAAAATTAAAGAAAGAATTACTGTATGATCCAGCAATTCCACTTCTGAGTGTACTGTAACCAAAATAATTGAAAGCAGAGTAACAAAGACACATTTACACATCTACATTCACAGCAGCATTATTAACAATAGCCAGGAAGAGGCAGAAGCAAGCCACATGTTCATGGACAAATGAATGAATAAACAAAATATGGTACAAATGTAGAGTGGAATACTATGCAGCCTTAAAAACAAGGAAATCCTGTCACATGCTAAAACATTATGCTAGGTGAAATAAGCCAGACGCAAAAAGACAATTACTCTACGATCCCATTTACATGAGGTAAAGTAGTCAAATTCATAGAAATAGAAAACAGAAAGGTGGTTTCCAGAGGTTGCTAGCAGGAGAAAGGGGAATTTGTTGTTTAATTGGTGTAAAATTTCAGTTCTGCAAGAGGTAAAAGTTCCAAAAATGTGTTTCATAATGATGGAAATATACTTTTAAAATAATTTCAGTAGTTTTGGGGGAAGAGGTGGTGTTTGGTTACATTGATAAGTTCTTGAGAATTTGGTTCACCCATCACCCAAGCAGTGTACACTGTACCCAATGTGTAGTCTTTTATCTCTCACTACCATCCCATTCTTCCCTCTGAGTCCCCAGAGTCCATTGTATCATTCTTATGCCTTTGCATCCTCACAGTTTAGCTCCTACTTATAAGTGAGAACATACAATGTTTGGTTTTCCATTTCTGGGTTACTTCACTCAGAATAATGGTCTCCAACTCCATCCAGGTTGCTGCAAATGCCATTATTTTATTTTTCATGACTGAGTAGTATTCCATGGTGTGTGTGTGTGTATATATATATATTTCACATTTTTTAAAATCCACTTGTTGATTAATGGGCATTTGGGCTGGTTCCATACTTTTTCAATTGCAGATTGTGCTGCTGTAAACATGCATGTGCAAGTGTCTTTTTCATATAATGACTCCCTCTGGGGAGACACCCAGTAGTCAGATTGCTGGATCAAATGGTAGATGTACTTTTAGTTATTTAAGGAATCTCTGTACTGTTTTTTCATTCCTACTAGCAGTGTAAAAGTGTTCCCATTTCACCACATCCATGCCAACATCTATAATTTTTTTATTTTTAAGTTATGGCCATTCTTGCAGAAGTAAGGTGGTATTGCATTGTGGTTTTGATTGGCATTTCCCTGATAGTTAGTGATGTTGAGCATTTTTTCATATGTTTGTTGGCCATTTTGTATATCTTCTTTTGAGAATTTACTATTTATGTCCTTAGCCCACATTTTGATGGGATTATTTGGTTTTTTTCTTGCTGATTTGTTTGAGTTCCTTGTAGATTCTGGATATTAGTCCTTTGTCAGTTGCATAGTTTGAGAAAATTTTCTTCCTCTCTCTGTGTGGTCTGTTTATTCTGCTGATCATTTCTTCTGCTGTGCAGAAGATTTTTAGTTTAATTAAGTCCCATCTATTTATCTTTGTTTCTGTTGCATTTGCTTTTGGGTTCTTGGTCATGAACTCTTTGCCTAAACCAATGTCTTAGAAGAGTTTTTGCAGTGTCATCTTCTAGAATGTTTATGGTTTCAGGTCTTAGATATAAGCCTTTGATCCATCTTGACTTGATTTTTGTATAAGATGAGAGATGAGAATCCAGTTTAATTCTTCTATATGTGGCTTGCCAATTATTTCAGCACCATTTGTTGAACAGGGTGTCCTTTCCCCGCTTTATATTTTTGTTTGCTTTGTCAAAGATCAGTTGGCTGTAAGTATTTGGCTTTATTTGTAGGTTCTCTATTCTGTTCCGTTGGTCTATGTGCCTATTTTTATACCAGTCCCATGCTGTTTTGGTGAATATAGCCTTGTAGTATAATTTGAAGTCAGGTAATGTAATGTCTCCAGATTTGTTCTTTTTGCTTAGTCTTGCTTTGGCTATGCAGGCTCTTTTTTGGTTCCATATGAGTTTTAGGATGTTTTTTCCAGTTCTGTGAAGAATGATGATGGTATTTTGATGAAAATTTCATGGAATTTGTAGATTACTTTTGGCAGTATGGTCGTTTTTATGGTATTGATTCTACCCATCCATGAACATGGGGTGTGTTTCCATTTGTTTGTGTCATCTATGATTCTATGATTTCTTTCAGCAATGTTTTGTAGTTTTCGTTGTAGAGGTCTTTCACCTCCTTGGTTAGGTATATTCCTAAGTTTTTTTGTTTTGTTTTGTTTTGTTTGTTGTTGTTTTTGTTGTTGTTTTTTGTTTGTTTTGTTTTGTTTTGTAGCTATTGTAAAAGGAATTGAGTTTTTTATTTGATTCCCAGTTTGGTCGCTGTTGGTGTATAGCAGTGCTACTGATTTGTGTACATCGATTTTGTATCCTGAAATTTTGCTGTATTCATTTATCAGATCTGGAAGCTCTTCAGATGAGTCTTGAAGGTTTTCTAGATATACAATTGTATCATTGGCCAAAAAAGACAGTTTGACTTCCTCTTTGCTGATTTGGATGCCCTTTATTTCTTTCTCTTATCTGATTGCTCTGTCTAGGATTTCCAATACCATGTTGAATAGGATTGGTGAAAGTGGGCATCCTTGTCTTGTTCCAGTTCTCAGGGGGAATGCTTTCAAATTTTCCCCATTTAGTACAGTGTTGTCTGTGGATTTGTCATAGATGGCTTTCATTACCTTAAGCTATGTCCCTTTTATGCCAATTTTGCTGAGGATTTTAATCATAAAGCGATGCTGGATTTTGTCAAATGCTTTTTCTGCATCTATTGTGACGATCATATGATTTTTGTTTTTAATTCTGTTTATGTGGTGTATCACATTTATTGACTTGTGTATGTTAAACCATCCCTGCATCCCTGGTATGAAACCCTCTTAATCATGGCAGATTATCTTTTTGATAAGCTACTGGACTCAGCTAGTATTTTGTTGAGGAATTTTGCATGTACGTTCATCAGGGATATTGGTCTATAGTTTTCTTTTTCTGTTATGTCCTTTTCTGGTTTTGGTATTAGGGTGATACTGGCTTCATAGAATGATTTGGGGAGGACTCCCTCTTTTTCTATCTTTTGGAATAATTTTGGTAGGATTAATACCAATTCTTCTTTGAGTGTCTGATAGAATTCTGCTGTGAGTTCATCTGGTCCTGGACTTTTTTTGTTGTTGGTAATTTGTTTATCACCATTTCAATCTTGTTGTTTGTTATTGGTCTGTTCAGAGTTTCTATTTCTTCCTGGATTAATCTAGAAGAGTTTTATATTTCTGGTAATTTATTCATTTCCTATAGGTTTTGTATTTTGTGGGCATAAAGGTATTCATAGTAGGCTTGAATGGTTTTTTGTATGTCTGTGGTATTGGTTGTAATATCTCCCATTTCATTTCTAGTTGAGCTTATTTGGCTCTTCTCTTTTCCTTTCTTTTCTTGTTTAATCTCATTAATGATCAATCAATTTTGTTTATCTTTTTGAAAAAACCAGCTTTTTCTTTCATTTATCTTTTGTATTTTTTTGTTTCAATTTTATTTAGTTCTGCTCTGATCTTTGTTATTTCCTTTCTTCTGCTAGGCTTGGGTTTGCTTTTTTCTTGTTTCTTTAGTTCCTTGAGGTGTGACCTTATAGTATCTATTTGCACTTTTTCAGACATTTTGATGTAGGTATTTAATGCTATGAACTTTCCTCTTAGCACCACTTTTCCTGTCTCAGAAGTTTTAATAGTTTGTGTTACTATTAGAGTTCAGTTCAAAGAATTTCAAAATTTCAATCTTGATTTCATTGTTGACATAATGATCGTTCAGAAGTACATTATTTAATTTCCATGTATTTGCATGATTTGCACGTTCCTTTTGAACTTGAGTTCCAATTTTATTCCTTTGTGGTCTGAGAGAGTACTTGACATAATTTCAGTTTTCTTAAGTTTATTGAGACTTGTTTTGTGGCCTATCATATGGTCTATCTTGAAGAATGTTTCAGATGATGATAAATAGAATGTATATTCTGCAGTTATTGGGTAGAATGTTCTGTTGGGTAGATACCTATCTGTTAAGTCCATTTTTTCTAGGGTATCTAGTTTAAGTCTATTGTTTCTAGTTTAAGTCTATTGTTTCGTTGTTGACTTTCTGTCTTGATGATCTGTCTCATGCTGTCAGTGGAGCAATGAAGTTCCCCACTATTATTGTGTTCTGTCTGTCTAATTTCTTAGGTCTAGTAGTAATTGTTTTATAAACTTGAGAGCTCCAGTGTTTGGTGCATATATATTTAGGATTGTGATATTTTCCAGTTGGACTAGTCCTTTCATCATTATATAATGTCCCCCTTTGACTTTTTTAACTGTTGTTGCTTTAAAGTCTGTTTTGTCTGATGTAAGAATAGCTATTTCTGCTTGCTTTTGTCATCCATTTGCATGGAATATCTTTTTCCATCCCTTTATATTAAGTTTATGTGAGTCCTTATGTGAGTTTGTTGAAGACAGCAGATACTTGGTTGGTGGATTCTTATCCATTCTGCCATTCTGTATCTTTTAAGTGAAGAATTTAGGCCATTTATTTCAACGTTAGTATTGAGATGTTAAGTACTATTCTATTCATTGTGCTAGTTGTTGCCTGAAGAGTATCTTGCTTTTTTTCCCATTGTGGTTTTTTTTTTTTTTTTCCTTTTTTTTTTATGGAGTCTCACTCTGTTGCCCAGGCTGGAGTGCAGTGGTGTGATCTTCGTTCACTGCAACCTCCATCTCCCAGGTTCAAGCAATTATCCTGCCTCAGCCTCCTGAGTAGCTGGGATTACAGGTGCGCACCACCACGCCTGGCTAATTTTTTGTGTTTTTAGCAGAGGCAGGGTTTTGCCATGTTTGTCAAGCTGGTCTCAAACTCCTGACCTTGTGATCCATCTGCCTCGGCCTCCCAAAGTGCTGTGGTTACAGGCGTGAGTCACTGCGCCCAGCCTTTGTGTTACGTTTTATAAGATTTATACTTTAAGGAGATTCTATTTTGAGGTTTTGTTTCAAGATTTAGAACTCCATTTAGCAGTTTTTGTAGTGCTGGGTTGGTAGTAGCGAATTCTGTCAGCATTTGTTTGTCTGAAAAAGACTTTATCTTTCCTTCATTTATGAAGCTTAGTTTTGCTGGATTCAAAATTCTTGGCTGATAATTATTTTGTTTGAAGAGGCTAAGGATAGGACCCCATTCCCTTCTAGCTTGAAAGGTTTCTGCTGCAAAATCTGCTGTTAATCTGATAGGTTGCCCTTTATAGGTTATCTGATGCTTTATCTCACAGCTCTTAAGATTCTTTCCTTCATCTTGACTTTAGATAACCTGATGACTATGTGCTTAGGTGATGATCTTTTTGTGACAAATTTCTTGGATGTTGTTTGAGCTTCTTGTATATAGATGTCTAGATCTCTAGCAAAGCCAGGGAAGTTTTCCTCAATTATTCCCCCAAATACGTTTTCCAAACTTTTAGATTTCTCTTCTTTCTCAGAAACACCAATTATTCTTAGGTTTGGTCATGTAACATAATCCCAAACTTCTTAAAGGCTTCAATCATTTTTTTAAATTCTTTTTTCTTTGTCTTTGTCAGATTGGGTTAATTCAAAAGCCTTGTGTTTGAGCTCTGAAGTTTTTTTTTCTACTTGCTCAATTCTACTGTTGAAACTTCCCAGTGTATTTCGCATTTCTCTAAATATGTCTTTCATTTCCAGAAGTTGTGATTGTTTTTTATTTATGCCACCTATTTTTCTGAGTTTTTTGTCCATATCCTGTGTTATTTTATTAATTTCTTTAAGTTGGTTTTCACCTTTCTCTGGATCCTCCTTGAGTAGCTTAATAATAGACCTTCTGAATTCTTTTTCTGGCAGTTCAGAGATGTCTTCTTGGTTTACATCCATTGCTGGTGAGCTAGTGTGATCTTTTGAGGTGTTATAGAACCTTGTTTTGTCACATTACCAGAATTGCTTTTCTGGTTCCTTCTCATTTGAATAGATTATGTCCTAGGGAAGATCTGGGGCTTAAGAGCTGTTGTTCAGATTCTTTCGTCGCATGGGGCGATCCCTTGATGTGGTGCTCTTTCACTTACCCTAGGGATGGGGCTTCCTGAGAGCTGGACTGCAGTGACTGTTATTGTTCTTCTGGGTCTAGCTACCCAGTGGAGCTACTGGGCTTTGGGCTTGTACTGGGTAGTGTCTGCAAAGAGTCTTGCGATATGATCCATCTTCAGGTCTTCCAGCCTTGGATACCAGCACCTGCTCTATTAGAGGTAGCAGGGGAGTGAAATGGACTCTGTGAGAGTCCTTGGTTGTAGTGTTGTTTAGTGTGCTGGTTTTCTCAAATGCTGGTTATGCTAGCAGTGAAGTTGTCGTATGGACTGGTTCAGGACCTCTGGTTATCTAGGATGTTAGAGGTGATGGAATTAGCTATTGTTTTCTTCCTCCTTGGAGCAGAGTTGTTCTGTTATGAGTTGCTGTAATGACTTGAGTTGGTTGCCCTCCAGCCAGGAGGTGGTGCTTTAAAGAGAGCATCAGCTGCAGTAGTATAGGGGGGATACAAGCTTGCCCTAAAGTCACTTGGATAAGTATTCAGGTTTCTCAGGTGATGAGTGGGGCCATAGAGCTCCCATGAGATTATGTCTTTTGTCTTTGGCTACCAGGATAGGTAGAGAAAGACAATCAGGTAGGGACAGGTTTAGGTGTGTCTGAGCTCAGACTTACCTTGGGCGGGGCTTGCTGCAGTTAATATGGGGAATGGGGGAGTGGTTCTCAGACCAGTGGAGTTATGTTCCTAGGGGTATTATGGCTGCCTCTGCTGCTTTGTACAGGTCACCACGGACATAGGGGAAAACCGAGAGTGACAGGCCTCACCCAGTTCCCACGCAGCCAGCAAGACCAGTCTCACTTCCACCATGCTTCCCCAACAGCCAACAGAGCCGAATTTATATCCAGGCCTCCAGTGGGCAGGGCTGAGATTTTGCTTCAGGCTACAAGCCTCCCTGCTGAGAAAGTAAGCAGGGCTTTCAGGCCTCACCCCTCTTTGCCTGCCATGGTTTCTGGGCTTGTATCTGCACTTTCCATTTGCCATCCCTGGATTCGGCCCAGGAAAGGCACGCTCATTCGAAATTACTATGAAGTTTAGCTGGAAATCTCCTTCTTCCTGTGGCTCTTCCTCAATTCCACTGGCTGCTGTCTCCAAGGACTCCTGTGAGATAAAGTCAGAAATGGCTTCCCTGGGCTTACTTGGGGACTGGGAGTGCCTACAGGGCTCTTCCCACTGCTGCTTCTACTTTTACAGTTTGCTCGACTTTCTAAATTCATTTCAGCTCTAGGTATGTTTAAATCCTTCTCCCATGATGTGGATTTTCAGGTTCCCCAGTGAGGATGTGTGTTCAGAGGTGAATTTTCCCCCCTCACACTTAGGGCACTCACAATTTTTTGGCTGTCTCACAGAGTTTGCAGCAGCAAGCTGCTTCTTTCAAAGGGTCTATGAATTCTTTTAGTTTCCCTGGTATGTTCCTGCAGTAGTTCTTGGAGCAAAAGTTCACCTACACACTGTTCTGTCCATCTGAATGAGAGCTGCAAGTTAGTGCTGTGTCCTATCTGCCATTTTCCCTGATATCACTCTGATGAAAGTATACTTAACACTACCGAACTGTACAAGTAAAAATGATTAATATGGTATATTTTATATGTGTCTTTTTTTGACACACACAAATAAAATAATTACATTTGTAAAGGCAGGAATGATCCTTTTTCCTGCTTATCTCATAGGATTGATGTGATGTGAGGATTAGATAAAGACAGTGAGGCTGGGGATGGTGGCACATGCCAGTAATCTCAGTTATTCATGAGGCTAAGGGAAGAGGATCCTTTGAGCTCACAAATTTGGGGCTGCAGCAGTGTATCATGATCCTGCTGCTGTGAACCATGACTGTGCTACTGCACTCCAGCCTGGGTGACAAAGTGAGATCCTGTCTTTAAAAATAAATAAATAAGTAAGTAAGTAAATAGATAGATAGATAGTGATTACACATATGACATGACACATGGCCAGTGCTAATTACTGCAGCCTTGCTTGCAATAGTAAATGACTGGAAACAGTGCAAGGATAACATAATACCTTTTGTGTAAGAAATAGAAAAACATGAATGTGTATCTGTATATTCTTATATTTTCATAAAGAAATTCTGAAAGGATGCTGAAGAAACTAAAATATTTATCTGTAATGGGGAGGGAAAGGTCATAACAAGGGTGGAAATGAGACCGTTCACTGTTTCCCTTTTGGGATTGTTTTGATTTTTGAAATATAGGAATACATTGCCAATTTTTTAAAAAGGCACTATGCGAAAAGGATTTTCAGAGCTACAAAACACTATATATGTATAAAGGATATTACTATTTTTATAATTATTAATAACATATCAAAGTAACTATGTGTTTTACAGATTATTAGTCACTCAATAATTCATGATTCCAGTCCCTTTTCTACTATATGATATACCTGAAGTAAAAAGATTTAATTTAGCTCTTCCTCAATTGGACTCTTCCTCAAGTTCGTGTAAAATTGTGTAGTTTTTATTTGAAATACTCTTATTCACCTCCACTCCCCCTCCCAAATCTCTCCTGTGTTCATATAGTTTGATTCCTAAATTTCAATTGGAGGTGATGGTCACCTATCCATGACACATGTCACTTCATTGAGAGCCAGACCTAGTATAGCAGATAAGATTGGCTGGGCGGTTGTCATCCTGATTCTGCAGTGCCATGTCACTCTTCCTTTAGCTGTATGGAGTGAGGGAGGGACTGTCTCTCTAGAGAGAGTTGAGCTATTCTTTGATCATACAAAGGAACCACAGCTGACACCAATCTAAGGTGTAATATCTCCTAGGAAAATGGTTGTCAGTGGGGGGCAATTTTGCCTCCTAGAGGACATTTGAAAATGTCTGGAGACATTTTTAGTTGTCGTGACTTGGGGGCGGGCTGCTACTAGCATATAGTGGATAGAGGCTAAGAATGCTGCTAAATCCTGTAACGCATGAGAGAGGTCCCACAACAAAAAATTATCCAACCCAAAATGTCAGTCATGCCACCAAGGTTAAGAGACTCTGTTTTAGGAGAAATGGCATTTTACCTGAGGTCCTTTGAATACCAGAGAGCCTTTAAGATGTCTAGGAATGACTTATTAATGGGGAAATGTCAGGACCATGGGAACTGGTGGTGAGAGAGATCTCCAGCCAGAAATCCTTTCTGGCTCTTTTCAAAACATATCACTGTGTGTGTCAGCTCAGTCCTCTGATTCTTCATGCTTCCCTTGCTCACAGTGGACTGATGATTAATGGATTAGTTTGCTTGTTTTCATCTGTTACGGTACAAGACATACCAATTCCTAACATTATGAGACCTGTTTTTCAAACTATGCCACCCCCAATATGTGTTGTGCGTATCTTGAATAGATAAGCTTCTAAGCCCCTCTCCTGCCACCTCTAACCTGACCACTCTTTTCTGTTTTCCCAGCATGGTTTGCACGTATCTTTAGTCTTGCATGGGTTGCATTTATGGGTTTATGTGTCTGTCCATCTCTATTGTGGTGTGAGCTCCTTAAGAATGTACTCTTTGCTTTCAAATTACTTTACATATAGTAAATTCTCAGTAAATATTCATTGAATCAGGGAATGAATTCAGCTTTAAAATATGAGAAAAAATTGAATTCAAAGAGAATAACTATATAATATATTTGATTAGATAGCTAATAAAATCACATTTTTTTGTATACACTTTTTTCTCAATAACACGTAGTTAACCTAAAA
The DNA here is from genome assembly GCF_000001405.40 of Homo sapiens. Lineage (NCBI taxonomy): Eukaryota > Metazoa > Chordata > Mammalia > Primates > Hominidae > Homo > Homo sapiens. Next base: position 12,557,445 of record NC_000006.12, on the reverse strand, counting down.
CAGCCCAGCTTTATGGAAAAGCACTTATTTTAAAACAGCCCATCTTTATGGGAAAGCAGATATTTTATGATGGTGATAAGGTTATCTGTTCTGTTGATATTAGTTGCCATTTCATTAATTTTTTACAGCTTTTTCCTTAAGTGTTTGTTTAGCTCTCAAATAATTCAATGTTCATTTTATTCAAAGCACTATATTGTGTGCTTTAGAGATACAAGGATGTATTATACATGGCTCATAGACTTTGAACTGTGGTTGGAAATACAAGATATCCTACTTTTGAAGAGATAAATAATAGGTGAATAATAAAAGGAGAACATTTAAGTAACAAGTAATATAGGTGCAGAACTCTGTTGGCATTTAAAAGGCAGTCATCAATAAGAAAAGGTTGTTTTTGTGATTGCTGATGAGGGACAGCTGGGTTTTAATAGGTAGTGTTCCCTGTGGACTGGGCTGCAGAAGAATTTGATGCATGAGGAAGCAATCTGTAATTGTGTTGGGAAACACAATGAATAAGCCAATGGGGATGGACTGCATTTAGGAACGATATAGTGAATATATTGAATGAGAAATGGTGGGACCATTACCTCTCCACATGAGTACCCCCTACTGGGGGCTGGACATAATTCCATGGAACTACTCAGTTGTAATTACTACATTGTCATCAGTCAATATGAAAGGATGCTTTAAGAAGAGGACCTGAGAAAGTAGGCCTTGTGTCTACAGCTATGGTTGTTGAAATGTGGTCCCTGGAGCAAAGCAGCAGCAGCATTGCTTGGGAGCATGTTAAAAATACAAATGCAAGGGCCCCACCCCAGACTTACTGCATCAGAAACTTTGGGGGTGGCATTGGCAATGTGTACTTTAGTAAGATTCCAGTTGATTCCAATACATGCTAAAGTTTGACAAACACTGGTTGTATTAGGCCATTCTTGCATGGCTATAAAGAAAAACTTGAGACTGGGTAATTTATTTAAAAAAATAGATTTAATTGGCTCACAGTTCTGCAGCCTTTACAGGAAGCATGACGCAGGTATCTGCTTGGCTTCTAGGGATGCCTCAGGAAGCCTACAATCATGGTGGAAGGTGAAGAGGGAGAAAGCATGTCACATGGTGAAGGGAGGAGCAAGAGAGGAGAATGCGGGGAGGTGCTACACACTTTTAAGCAACCAGATTTCATGAAAACTCACTAACAATCACAAAGACAGCACCAAGGGGATGGTGTTAAGCCACTCATGAGAAATCGGCCCCCATGATCCAGTCACCTCCTACCAGGCCCCACCTCCAACACTGGGTATTATAATTCAACATGAGACTTGGCAGGGACGTACACTCAAACTAAATCACTGGTCTATAGTAAGGATATCCTTAGGGTTGTTACTTACTACTTACCCAGTACCATGTTTATGAGGACTTACAAGACACGTTTCTTTCTGGTACACGTTCTTGAGCATTAAAAAAATAAACAAATAAAAAGCCTGAGTAAGACAGTGAATTATGTAATGGGTCAGTTTTTCCTTTTTCTCATTGACTGCCAGAAAGCTAGGGGTCACCTTAATGTCTCCCATAACAGCACATATTATGGCATACATTGTTCTATTGGCCTCTCTCTTTGGTTTTATATCCCTATATGTTTTCTCATATACTTTTAATTTATCAATCTCTTTTTATGTGTATTCCTATGTTATTCAATTAAAAAATATAAAGAATGTGAATATCTTAGTATCAAAATGTTACTGTTTTGTTATGTGTCTGTCAAGTCTATCTAGGATAAGGGCATTTGACATTCCAGTAGGAAATAAAATGGTTTTTTTTTTTTTCCTATTCTTCCTTCATGAATTCCCAATTCATCCCCATCTCTGGATTTAACTGGCTGTGGAACATGAAGTAAATAAATTGTAAGCAGGGGTATTTTTTAGGTTTTTCCTGGCCTCCAGGGCTTGAAAGAGTCTACATGCTTGAGAAGGCTTTGGAAGTCAGACTCCGGACCCCTGAGTCACTCCTAAAACATGCCTTACCAGTTGGATTTTTGCCTACTTCATGGTTGTCTCGGAAGTGTTACCCCAATTGCACAATAGTTATATTTCTTTTTTTTTCTTTTTTCTTTTATTATTATTATACTTTAAGTTTTAGGGTACATGTGCACAATGTGCATGTTAGTTACACATATATACATGTGCCATGCTGGTGTGCTGCACCCATTAACTCATCATTTAGCATTAGGTATATCTCCTAAAGCTATCCCTCCCCCCTCCCCGCGACTCCACAACAGTCCCCAGAGTGTGATGTTCCCCTTCCTGTGTCCATGTGTTCTCATTGTTCAATTCCCACCTATGAGTGAGAATATGCAGTGTTTGGTTTTTTGTTCTTGTGATAGTTTACTGAGAATGATGATTTCCAATTTCATCCATGTCCCTACAAAGGACATGAAGTCATCATTTTTCATGGCTGCATAGTATTCCATGGTGTACATGTGCCACATTTTCTTAATCCAGTCTATCATTGTTGGACATTTGGGTTGGTTCCAAGTCTTTGCTATTGTGAATAGTGCTGCAATAAACATACATGTGCATGTGTCTTTATAGCAGCATGATTTATACTCCTTTGGGTATATACCCAGTAAGGGGATGACTGGGTCAAATGGTATTTCTAGTTCTAGATCCCTGAGGAATCGCCACACTGACTTCCACAATGGTTGAACTAGTTTACAGTCCCACCAACAGTGTAAAAATATTCCTATTTCTCCACATCCTCTCCAGCACCTGTTGTTTCCTGACTTTTTAATGATCGCCATTCTAACTGGTGTGAGATGGTATCTCATTGTGGTTTTGATTTGCATTTCTCTGATGGCCAGTGATGGTGAGCATTTTTTCATGTGTTTTCTGGCTGCATAAATGTTTTCTTTTGAGAAGTGTCTGTTCATGTCCTTCGCCCACTTTTTGATAGGGTTGTTTGTTTTTTTCTTGTAAATTTGTTTGAGTTCATTGTAGATTCTGGATATTAGCCCTTTGTCACATGAGTAGGTTGTGAAAATTTTCTCCCATTTTGTAGGTTGCCTGTTCACTCTGATGGTAGTTTCTTTTGCTGTGCAGAAGCTCTTTAGTTTAATTAGATCCCATTTGTCAATTTTGGCTTGTGTTGCCATTGCTTTTGGTGTTCTAGACATGAAGTCCTTGCCCATGCCTATGTCCTGAATGGTAATGCCTAGGTTTTCTTCTAGGGTTTTTATGGTTTTAGGTCTAACGTTTAAGTCTTTAATCCATCTTGAATTAATTTTTGTATAAGGTGTAAGGAAGGGATCCAGTTTCAGCTTTCTACATATGGCTATCCAGTTTTCCCAGCACCATTTATTAAATAGGGAATCCTTTCCCCATTTCTTGTTTTTCTCAGGTTTGTCAAAGATCAGATAGTTGTAGATATGCAGCATTATTTCTGAGGGCTCTGTTCTGTTCCATTGATCTATATCTCTGTTTTGGTACCAGTACCATGCTGTTTTGGTTACTGTAGCCTTGTAGTACAGTTTGAAGTCAGGTAACGTGATGCCTCCAGCTTTGTTCTTTTGGCTTAGGATTGACTTGGCGATGTGGGCTCTTTTTTGGTTCCATATGAACTTTAAAGTAGTTTTTTCCAATTCTGTGAAGAAAGTCATTGGTAGCTTGATGGGGATGGCATTGAATCTATAAATTACCTTGGGCAGTATGGCCATTTTCACGATATTGATTCTTCCTACCCATGAGCATGGAATGTTCTTCCATTTGTTTGTATCCTCTTTTATTTCATTGAGCAGTGGTTTGTAGTTCTCCTTGAAGAGGTCCTTCACGTCCCTTGTAAGTTGGATTCCTAGGTATTTTATTCTCTTTGAAGCAATTGTGAATGGGAGTTCACTCATGATTTGGCTCTCTGCTTGTCTGTTATTGGTGTATAAGAATGCTTGTGATTTTTGTACATTGATTTTGTATCCTGAGACTTTGCTGAAGTTGCTTATCAGCTTACGGAGATTTTGGGCTGAGACATGGGGTTTTCTAGATATACAATCATGTCATCTGCAAACAGGGACAATTTGACTTCCTCTTTTCCTAATTGAATACCCTTTATTTCCTTCTCCTGCCTAATTGCCCTGGCCAGAACTTCCAACACTATGTTGAATAGGAGTGGTGAGAGAGGGCATCCCTGTCTTGTGCCAGTTTTCAAAGGGAATGCTTCCAGTTTTTGCCCATTCAGTATGATATTGGCTGTGGGTTTGTCATAGATAGCTCTTATTATTTTGAGATACATCCTATCAATACCTAATTTATTGAGAGTTTTTAGCATGAAGGGTTGTTGAATTCTGTCAAAGGCCTTTTCTGCATCTATTGAGATAATCATGTGGTTTTTGTCTTTGGTTCTGTTTATATGCTGGATTACATTTTTTGATTTGCGTATATTGAACCAGCCTTGCATCCCAGGATTGAAGCCCACTTGATCATGGTGGATAAGCTTTTTGATGTGCTGCTGGATTCGGTTTTCCAGTATTTTATTGAGGATTTTTGCATCAATGTTCATCAAGGATATTGGTCTAAAAATTCTCTTTTTTGGTTGTGTCTCTGCCAAGCTTTGGTATCAGGATGATGCTGGCCTCATAAAATGAGTTAGGGAGGATTCCCTCTTTTTCTATTGATTGGAATAGGTACCAGTTCCTCCTTGTACCTCTGGTAGAATTTTGCTGTGAATCCATCTGGTCCTGGACTCTTTTTGGTTGGTAAGCTATTGATTATTGCCACAATTTCAGAGCCTGTTATTGGTCTATTCTGAGAGTCAACTTCTTCCTGGTTTAGTCTTGGGAGGGTGTATGTGTCGAGGAATTTATCCATTTCTTCTAGATTTTCTACTTTATTTGTGTAGAGGTGTTTGTAGTATTCTCTGATGGTAGGTAATATTTCTGTGGGATCGGTGGTGATATCCCCTTTATCATTTTTTATTGCGTCTATTTGATTCTTCTCTCTTTTCTTCTTTATTAGTCTTGCTAGCGGTCTATCAATTTTGTTGATCCTTTCAAAAAACCAGCTCCTGGATTCATTTATTTTTTGAAGGGATTTTTGTGTCTCTATTTCCTTCAGTTCTGCTCTGATTTTAGTTACTTCTTGCCTTCTGCTAGCTTTTGAATGTGTTTGCTCTTGCTTTTCTAGTTCTTTTGTGATGTTAGGGTGTCAATTTTGGATCTTTCCTGCTTTCTCTTGTGGGCATTTAGTGCTATAAATTTCCCTCTACACACTGCTTTGAATGTGTCCCAGAGATTCTGGTATGTTGTGTCTTTGTTCTTGTTGGTTTTAAAGAACATCTTTATTTCTGCCTTCATTTCGTTATGTACCCAGTAGTCATTCAGGAGCAGGTTGTTCAGTTTCCATGTAGTTGAATGTTTTTGAGTGAGTTTCTTAATCCTGAGTTCTAGTTTGATTGCACTGTGGTCTGAGAAACAGTTTGTTATAATTTCTGATCTTTTACATTTGCTGAGGAGAGCTTTACTTCCAACTATGTGGTCAGTTTTGGAATAGGTGTGGTGTGGTGCTGAAAAAAATGTATACTCTGTTGATTTGGGGTGGAGAGTTCTGTAGATGTCTATTAGGTCCACTAGGTGCAGAACTGAGTTCAATTTCTGGGTATCCTTGTTAACTTTCTCTCTCGTTGATCTGTCTAATGTTGACAGTGGGGTGTTAAAGTCTCCCATTATTATTGTGTGGGAGTCTAAGTCTCTTTATAGGTCACTCAGGACTTGCTTTATGAATCTTGGTGCTCCTGTATTGGGTGCATATATATTTAGGATAGTTAGCTCTTCTTGTTGAATTGATCCCTTTACCATTATGTAATGGCCTTCTTTGTCTCTTTTGATCTTTGTTGGTTTAAAGTCTGTTTTATCAGAGACTAAGATTGCAACCCCTGCCTTTTTTTGTTTTCCGTTTGCTTCGTAGGTCTTCCTCCATCCTTTTATTTTGAGCCTATATGTGTCTCTGCACGTGAGATGGGTTTCCTGAATACAGCACACTGATGGGTCTTGACTCTTTATCCAATTTGCCAGTCTGTGTCTTTTCATTGGAGCATTTATCCCATTTACATTTAAAGTTAATATTGTTATGTGTGAATTTGATCCTGTTATTATGATGTTAGCTGGTTATTTTGCTCGTTAGTCGATGCAGTTTCTTCCTAGCCTCGATGGTCTTTACAATTTGGCATGATTTTGCAGTGGCTGGTATCGGTTGTTCCTTTCCATGTTTAGTGCTTCCTTCAGGAGCTCTTTTAGGGCAGGCCTGGTGGTGACAAAATCTCTCAGCATTTGCTTGTCTGTAAAGTCTGTAAAGTCTGTAAAGTATTTTATTACTCCTTCATTTATGAAGCTTAGTTTGGCTGGAAATGAAATTCTGGGTTGAAAATTCTTTTCTTTAAGAATGTTGAATATTGGCCCCCACTCTCTTCTGGCTTGTAGGGTTTCTGCCGAGAGATCCGCTGTTAGTCTGATGGGCTTCCCTTTGTGGATAACCGGACCTTTCTCTCCGGCTGCTCTTAACATTTTTTCCTTCATTTCAACTTTGGTGAATCTGACAATTATGTGTCTTGGAGTTGCTCTTCTCGAGGAGTATCTTTGTGGCATTCTCTGTATTTCCTGAATCTGAATGTTGGCCTGCCTTGCTAGATTGGGGAAGTTCTCCTGGATAATATCCTGCAGAGTGTTTTCCAACTTGGTTCCATTCTCCCCATCACTTTCAGGTACACCAATCAGACGTAGATTTGGTCTTTTCACATAGTCCCATATTTCTTGGAGGCTTTGTTCATTTCTTTTTATTCTTTTTTCTCTAAACTTCCCTTCTCGCTTCATTTCATTCATTTCATCTTCCATCACTGATACCCTTTCTTCCAGTTGATCGCATCGGCTCCTGAGGCTTCTGCATTATTCACATAGTTCTCGAGCCTTGGCTTTCAGCTCCATCAGCTCCTTTAAGCACTTCTCTGTATTGGTTATTCTAGTTATATATTCGTCTAAATTTTTTTCAAAGTTTTCAACTTCTTTGCCTTTGGTTTGAATTTCCTCCTGTGGCTCAGAGTAGTTTGATCGTCTGAAGCCTTCTTCTCTCAACTCGTCAAAGTCATTCTCTGTCCAGCTTTGTTCCATTGCTGGTGAGGAGCTGCATTCCTTTGGAGAAGGAGAGGCGCTCTGCTTTTTAGAGTTTCCAGTTTTTCTGCTCTGTTTCTCCCCCATCTTTGTGGTTTTATCTACTTTTTGTCTTTGATGATGGTGATGTACAGATGGGCTTTTGGTGTGGATGTCCTTTCTGTTTGTTAGTTTTCCTTATAACAGACAGGACCCTCAGCTGCAGGTCTGTTGGAGTTTGCTAGAGGTCCACTCCAGACCCTGTTTGCCTGGGTACCAGCAGCGGTGGCTGCAGAGCAGCAGATTTTCGTGAATCACAAATGCTGCTGTCTGATCGTTCCTCTGGAAGTTTTCTCTCAGAGGAGTACCCGGCTGTGTGAGGTGTCAGTCTGCCCCTACTGAGGGGTGCCTCCCAGTTAGGCTGCTCGGGGGTCAGGGATGAGGGACCCACTTGAGGAGGCAGTCTGCCCGTTCTCAGATCTCCAGCTGCGTGCTGGGAGAACCACTGCTCTCTTCAAAGCTGTCAGACAGGGACATTTAAGTCTGCAGAGGTTACTGCTGTCTTTTTGTTTGTCTGTGCCCTGTCCCCAGAGTTGGAGCCTACAGAGGCAGGCAGGCCTCCTTGAGCTGTGGTGGGCTCCACCCAGTTCCAGCTTTCCGGCTGCTTTGTTTACCTAAGCAAACCTGGGCAATGGAGGGCGCCCCTCCCCCAGCCTCGCTGCTGCCTTGCAGTTTGATTCCAAACTGCTGTGCTAGCAATCAGCGAGACTCCGTGGGCATAGGACCCTCCAAACCAGGTGTGGGATATAATCTCCTGGTGCACCATTTTTTAAGCCCGTCAGAAAAGTGCAGTATTGGGGTGGGAGTGACCCGATTTTCCAGGTGCCGTCTGTCACCCCTTTCTTTGACTAGGAAAGGGAACTCCCTGACCCCTTGCGCTTCCCGAGTGAGGCAATGCCTCGCCCTGCTTTGGCTCGCGCATGGTGTGCTGCACCCACTGTCCTGCGCCCACTGTCTGGCACTCCCTAGTGAGATGAACCTGGTACCTCAGATGGAAATGCAGAAATCATCCGTCTTCTGCATCGCTCACGCTGGGAGCTGTAGACCGGAGCTGTTCCTATTCAGGCATCTTGCCTGAGAAAACCTAATAGTTATATTTCTAAGAAGTGGTAAACTGAACCACATGTATATCCAAGACCAACACTTAAAGAAATCTTATGATGAATCCTTCAGTATTGCAAGGAATTGGCCTCACTTGCAATTTGTGTCTTGAAATCTTATTCCCTGATGTGAGAATTTAAACACAGTGAGATTTACCTACATATGGCCCACAGTATTCTCAGCCTACTTTTACTATCAACCAAGGTAAAAGAGTTCCCTTTCTGTGATGGGGGGAATTTTTAAGAAAGATTAGAAGGAAAGCCTGGGAATAAAAATGCTCAGAATTAGAAATACAAGATGGTGCTTCTTCATTGGCAAAAGTTGAGTCAGGGGAACACAATTAGGCTTTTCTGAAGGATTCATGCAGCCAAGCTCATTTTGTGAAAACAGAATTAAGTCAAACCACACCACTGCATACTAGGAATTTTTGGAAACACAGTGGAACATTCCAAGATAAAATATTAGGTCATTTCAGGGCTTGAGGTTGGGTGAAATGAGCTAAATTGGTCCTCCGATTATTGTTGTTGTTTTTGGAGAGCTAAAACACGTACTGGAGCAGCAAGAGCAGTGGAAGGGATGTGAGGAATCATGGATTATTTGTTCATTCAACAAATATTTACTGAGTGCCTACTATGTGCCTGGCATCGTGCTAAATCCTGGAGAAATGGCAGGAAAAAAATGGGCACATGTCTTGCCCACCTGGAGTCAGTATACTTGATGGTAAACCTTGCTCTGTTGCACTGGGGCAGAGTAATTTTGGTCTAGTCATCGATCTGCTCTGGCCCTCAATTGCCCTTTTTTTTTTTTTTTTTTTTTTTTTTTTTTGAGATGGAGTCTCACTTTGTCATCCAGGCTGGAGTGCAGTGGTGCAATCTTGGCTCACTATAACCTGTCTCTCCTGGGTTCAAGCGATTCTCCTTCCTCAGCCTTCTGAGTAGCTGGGACTACAGGTGCACACCACCACGCCCGGCTAATTTTTGTATTTTTGGTAGAGACAGGGTTTCGCCATGTTGACCATGCCCGCCTTGGCCTACCAAAGTGCTGGGATTACAGGTGTGAGCCACTGCGCCCGGCCTCAGTTGCCCATTTGTAAAATAAAGTTGTTAGACTGAAAGTGCTAACTCTAAGGTCTCTTCCAGCTCAGGGTGTCTTTGATTCTGTAAACAGGGAATGAGTACTTCTTCGATGATGTGAAAGAACTGACAGGTCCAGAGTTTCTAGAGTTTTAGGATAGCAAATTGATTGAAATGGGTCTGGGGTCTGGGGAATTTGTCTTAAAGCTACATTTCCACAGCCGAGATAGTGCTTAGTTGAGGTTGAGGGCCACTTAAGAGGATATGGCAGTGGAGATGAGAATGAGGCTCAAGTCTCCAGCCACCTCCTCGGCACTGCCTCTGCTTTCACTTCTATCTTTCTCGTTTTCTTTGTGTCTTCATCTCAGTCTGGTAAATCAGAGTTAGTTCAGAGAAGGAGAAAAATAAACTCATTGAGTTCCATTTTGGGGGATAGAAAAGGAAGAAACAGTAGCCTGCCCCAACTTCAGAGTCAGTTACCATAGAGACATAAAAAGCCAGCGCAACCTGAACCAGTGTCATCCTGATTGCCGTCTGTGTCCAGGAGGAGAGAAGAGGGTCCAAGGAGCTTTCAAACGGGGCATGGATTCTCCTCTTCCAGAGCCCACAGAAACGTTAGGCTACATGTGTCCTCAAGAATCATCTAAAACTTGGATGCCACAATGGCATCCAAGCTACTCTATGAAGACAAAACGTTTCTGATTTTCAAAGGCTTTCAGGAATGACCATTATATTCCTAACCATACATTTTTGATGTTCAACAATTCTTACTATCATAAATCTCATCCTGTTGATTGACTCCAGTCTCTAGTTCTGTAGTTATCTTCTATCTTCTTCTTCCATTTGTTTTACCAACTAAAGAAAAACCCACCATATGCTTCCTCTCCAGTTAAACATTGTACCTCACACATGTACAATGTTTGGAAACAGTACCGTAGCTGAGCATCAGTGACCTAGGGGAGCATGAAGTTTGCTGTAAATCCCAAAGGATTTTCTCCTGCCATGTTATTTTCTGTATGTGTTGCCTGGAACATGTCCTTAAAATCTTCAGTAAGTTTCTCCCCACATTGAATAAAATCATTCTGAATTTTAATTTTCTCCGGGTCAACCTGGGGTCATCCATTAACATAATGAACTCATATATGTTCTTGGTGCCATCACTGACTTGTTGCTGAAAAAATGAAACCCCTACAGACCTAGGACCTACCCAGTAGATATCATTTCCCAATGTTATCACATTTCTTTCCTGGACTCATTTGCACATAGCTTTCTTGCTCAGGAATTGCACTGCTAGTCCCTTTGGCTATGGACATCTGTTTGCTCAACATTAATTTCATGTTCTTTTTCATACTCCCCAGCTCCCTCTTGCAAAGGACACACCTTGACACCAGAGAGCATGGCTGAATGTGCTTATTTTTAATTCTTTCAAAGATTTGTGAAACCTTTCAAATCTGTACAAATATCACTGATTTGCTGAGATTCACTGGGGACTTATATTACATACCACGCAAACAGCTTCTGCATAGGAAAAGCACACTGTGTTATGTTTGTGTCTCTTAAATCCAAGAGGATGAATCAACTCCAGAAAATACTTAATAAAAACAGCAACTCATTAAAGAGCCGGTTACTTGTAGGCAAGTGTCTGGAAGACGTTTTTGCCAGTTGGAACAGAATGCTTTGTTTTAGAAGGTAGGTCCACTCTGCCGCTTTTGTCAGCATTTAGCAAGTTGACAAGCATGAGACAGAGTCAAAAAGCGATAGTAGCTTATCAAACAGTTCCCAGTTAGGCAGATGGTGCTCTTGACTATTTTAATGGGCTCCCTAACATGTGAATGACTGCTGCCATTTGGACAGCAACTAAAAGATTTCTGAAATGTTCCTCTCATTTTCACACCAGATTTAGAACTCTAAATAGAGTCCTGTATTTACCTCAACTCATGTTATATTGGGGGCTGGTCAAAACCAGTTATTGGGCAGGTTGTCTGCAAACTGGAAGATATGACAACAAAGGCATGAAGGAATCTAAATCCTGGTCTAATGCCACACAATGAGTCATCAGACAACCAAGGAAATGAATTAAGATTCTTACTTCATGATCCATGGCTTGCCATCTCACTTACATAGTGTGTACTAGAAAGAGACACAGCTGGGGTTAAATTGCAGCTGTCACCTGTAGGCAATTGGAACTTAGATAAGCCACTTCTCTGAGTTTCTGTTTTCTTATCAATAAAACTGTAATAATAAAACCTATCACAGAGAGTTGTTGTGAACATCAATAAAGAAATAATACATGGACAATGAGAGGTGCATAGCTGAATGCTCAATAAATGCTAGCTATTACATCAACACATTTCCTCCTACTACTTATTTTTTCTTAATGCTTTCTGCTTTTAAATAAATACATAAAAATGAAACCCCAAGCATTGCTAATTAGCTTCTAGAGATCTAATACTACATACATAAAAGAGACAGGGACTATTGAACAGGGTACTGTAATGAGAATGGGAGACCTTGATTTTGGGCATAAGCCCAAAACTCATTCAAAACAGATACAAGAATGCAAGCAAAGGTTTCTGGGTCTCTCCTCTCTCTCTATTTCTCTTCACGTATGTTAAGTTTCCAGTCACCACTCATTGCTGACATTATATTGTCATACTTAACTGTCTTTATCTTTTCTTCTACAACGTATTATTCTTTATAGGTGCTTTTAACATCTTAGCTTTTCTCTAGTTTTGCTTGTTCACTTCTTGTAAATACATTAAGCCATAAAACTGGTATGTGTTCAGTTGATGAGGTCATGATTTTAGAGTTCTATATCCCAGAGAAGTATTTCACACTATTTCCTGCTATAATCATTTTATTAATAATCCATATTTCTGGGTTCCAACTTGTATCTAATGAGTCAATCTCATTAGTGAAGGTAGGTGGGCGAGAATGCTAGGAAGTTGTTTTTCACTGATGCCCACAGTAATGCTTCTGATCTGACAGATTTAAGAAGAAACATCTCATCCCATGGCCAGGCAGCTTGGTTTCCTGGCATGAGGCAGCCATACTGAAATCTTAAATCTCAGAGAGCTGGATGAGAGAATGTGAAGGAATCCATACCAGTTCACACCTTTCCCAGAAAGTATGTTCTGTAATGCATATCCTATGATTTTGGGGTTGGAGGAATCAATCTTTTTATTTATTGGACATAATGTTCTGAAAGCTTTAGAATTTATACATGATAATCTTACAAAGAGTTTTATTTTTTACATTCCATATGCATATAAATCATTCTTAAAGAAGATAAGTACGTAATCCCAGATACTCGGGAGGCTGAGACAGGAGAATTGCTTAATTAGGTCAAAGTAGACTTTGAGAAATGTCCTATTTCATGTGAAAACATGCTCTCACTCTAAATAAGTTTACTTCTAGAGTTCACCAAAGCCCATTTTACCAATGAGTGACATTGGACCTCAAATGGTAAGCCCATTACCCAACTGCCTTTGATGATGGATAATTAAGAAGGGGTTTGTTAAAAGCCACTTTTGATAAATTGATAAGGGTCAATGCCAAGAAGACGCAGCACATGAAATCAAGCCAGTCTGGTTAGCCAGCACCAGCTATGCCAACCAAATCATTGTGTTCTGCTAGAAGGGTCAGAACAATAGCAGAACTCACCCCGTGGAGCAGACCACACACACCTCTTCTGCTGTGTGTGCCATTAAAGCATTCCATTCACATGTCACCAAAAGGCGAGCTTTTATTTTCAAACCTTTCTAGAAATCAGCTTATGCCATTTACTCCAGCAGGAATGGCAGTCAGCCATACTGGAGAATATTAACAGTTCTATCCAGTCTCAACAGAGACTCATTGTCTCAGGATAAAAACATTTGTTTAAATATTAAACAGTGAAATCTCTCTGGGTCATTAAAGCCTATAAAGAACAGGACGGAAATTCATTAATAATCTTAGACTTGGGCCAAGTGAGTGGCTCAGATGCCATTTGTCTTGGTGGCATGTCATGCACCCAGAGGAAGTGCTGCACATCACACTCCCAGCTTCGTTCTCACACAATGTTTACAGGCCTCTCGTGGTACGTGCCTTTCTTCTCATAAAACGTGCAGATGCTGAGTAAGATCAATCACTTTCAGTTTTCTCCAGAATTGTCCTGAGTAACCTTGTGAGTCTAGATTCTTAATTTCTACTTGCTAGAGATAGTGTTTTGATTTGGGAAAGATATACCGAGTAAAATTGCTTCTTAAATCAAATGCAACTCAGTTAAAATGTACCAGGTCTTTTGTTTCTTTGTTGGTTCTCAAGTCAACTCGATTCAATTCAATACCAAAGTATTATTGAGTGCCAGCAATGGGTATATTCTCTGTTTAATGGAGTGGGAAGTGGTTCAGAAGGATTATCTAACACAGATGCCACATCTTATCTGGCCAAAAGGAATGCCACTCTAGTTAACATGTCATCCTAATCCTTGACTTTCTTCTGAGTAGGATTTACTAATATGGCTATATTTATCAGCAACTCCATCACTGATATATTCTCCAGGTCTTCTTCCAACTTCTTTCTAATGTTAAGTAAAGAAGAAAAATGTCAGGCCATGCTTTCAAATCAGTGACCTATCCAAATTTGTAACTTTCTCAAACATGGATGGATGGCATTTTCAGTAGAATACTGAGCCATATGCAGAAAACTGAAACTGGACCCCTTCCTTACGCCTTATACAAAAATTAATTCAAGATGGATTAAAGACTTAAATGTAAAACCACAAACCATAAAAACTCTAGAAGAAAACATAGGCAATACCATTCAGGACACAGGCATGGGCAAAGACTTCATGACGAAAATGCCAAAAGCAATTGCAACAAAAGCCAAAATTGACAAATGGGATCCAATTAAATGAAAAAGCTTCTGACAGGAACAAAAAAACAAAAACAAAAACAAAAAACTGTCATCAGAGTAAACAGGCAACCTACAGAATGGGAGAAAATTTTTGCAATCTACCCATCTGACAAAGCGCTAATATCCAGAATTTATAAGGAACTTGAACATATTTACAAGAAAAAGACAGACAACCCCATCAAAAAGTGGGCAAAGGATGTGAACAGACACTTCTCAAAAGAAGACAATGATGCAGCCAACAAACATGAAAAAAAGTCAACATCACTGACCATCAGAGAAATGCAAATCAAAACCACAATGAGATACCATCTCACACCAGTCAGATTGGCAATTATTAAAAAGTCAGGAAACAATAAATGCTGATGAGGCTGTGGAAAAATAGAATGCTTTTACACTGTTGGTGGGAATATAAATTAGTTCAACTGTTGTGGAAGACAGTGTGGTGATTCCTCAAGGATCTAGAACCAGAAATACCATTTGGCCCAGCAATCCCATTACTGGGTATATACCCAAATCAACATAAATCATTATACTATAAAGACACATGCACACATATGTTTATTGCAGCACTCTTTACAATAGCAAAGACTTGGAACCAACCCAAATGCCCATCAATGATAGACCGAATAAAGAAAATGTGGTACATATACACCATGGAATACTATGCAGCCATAAAAAAGAATGAGATCATGTCCTTTGCAGGGACATGGATGAAGCTGGAAGCCATCATCCTCAGCAAACTAACACAGAAACAGAAAACCAAACACTGCATGTTCTCACTCATAAGTGGGAGTTGAACATTGAGAACACACGGACACAGAGAGGGGAATGACACACAGCCGGGCCTGTTGCAGGATGGGAGGTGAGGGGAAGGAACTTAGAGGATGGGTCAATAGGTGCAGCAAACCACCATGGCACACGTATACCTACGTAACAAACCTGCAGGTTCAGCACATGTATCCCATTTTTTTTTAGAAGAAATTAAGATTAAAAGAAAAAGAAAAGAATACTGGGATAAAGACCATGGTTTCTTAAATACCTTAAATGAAGATAGTATATACATAACATATTGATAAAAGATGGCTATTGTGATAAAAGTACTTCATATTTTTGTATTGAAACATGATCATCAGGCTGTAACATAAGCATATTTTGCTAACAAGCCTTCAAACAACTTCTAATAGTATCTTGATAGCAGTGGTGTGAATATATTTTGTGATGCAACAGAGGTCTCAAGTTTCTTAAACGGTTATTTTCTGAGCACCTACCATGTGCCAGGCACAGTTCTAAATGTGAACCCTGACAGAACAGAGATCACACCAGAGTGTGGGATAGTGTGGTATCTTGGAAGCCCAAGCAAGAAAGTGCATCAGGAAGAATACAGCAAACAAGTACCTCAGATGCCGCTGGTGGTAGGTCAGGTGGTATGAGGATTGAGAGTCAAATATGAATTTTGCAACAAGGTCACTGGTACCCTTCTTCAGAACAGTTTTAGTACAATGGTTGGAGTGGGGGTGAGGAGTGGAGGCCAGGTTGGAAGAGTTTAAAAGGGTATGAAAGAAGAGAAATTGAAGAAATTGCTGAAGGAGTTTTGCTTCATGGAGATCCTATGAAATGGGACAATAGAAAGCAAATTTCGTTACAAGAAAATTTTGTTTTTAGATGAGAGAAATAAAAGAATATTGGTAAGCTAATATAAATGAATCATAGGAAAAGAAAAATAGATGGTATTGGAAAGAGAGGGAATAAGTGCATTTTACTGACTGGTTGACGTTTCAGATATGGGAAAACACAAGAGCTATCTGTCTTTGAAGGTAAGAAGGAGAAATACAATACTTACTGTAGAGCCACAGCAAGCAACAGAAATCAAATTGCATAGGTGGGAGATTGGAAAACAAAATGAAAACCTAAACCATGTTTAAATATGAATAAATTTGTTAATTTCATAACCAGTATGTAACTTTTAACTGTAACAATTTGAGTTAAATACTAGAGATTGTAGAGTACCATCACATTAAGATTTTTATTATCCAGGATGTTTGGAAAATAGAATGTTTTAGCTAAGAGAATTATACTAAGTTCACCTAAAGTAGATATGAATAATATAAAATATACTTACCCCTAAAACTGCATGAAGTAGACTTGAGTCTTTCATTATTTGGAGGATACATTTGGAAGTTGCAAATAGCCTCAGGGTTAATGTTTGAAGCATTGTAAATTATTGAGTGAGAATAATATATAGACAGATAAACTCATTTTATAGTAACACTTTTATACTATTCTGTAAAGGGTCAGGTAGTGGATAATTTCAGATTTGCAAGACCTGTGGTCTCTGTTGCACCTATTTATCCTTGCCATTGTGGCTTGAAAGTAACCACAGATAATACACAAACGAATGAGAATGTTCAATGAAATTTTATTTGAAAACACAGGCAGAGGACTGGATTTGGACTGTGAGCAGTAGTTTGCCAACCCCTTCCATAGAGGATAATTTATTTCAAGAAATCCCTTAATTTTATATAATATTGCATTATGGTTAAGGCTCCAGAGCCTTGGGTAGCTCTGAAGCTACCCAAGCTGTGTGTCTGACATAAATAAACTCCGGACATGAGAAAGTATTGCCGTGCCTGTTGTCAGGCTTTGAAACCAGTAAAAGGTGATTTGGGATGATCTTGCTCAAGTAGCTTCATCTCTTTAAACCTTAATTTCCTCATCTGTAAAATGGGATAACACCGATCCATAAAGTGATTGTGAAGGGCTATGAGCTATTGTTTATTGGGGCTGATTTTACTTAGATCAGCTGGTTTCCCTGGATTTGGGGCTCTTCTCTGTCAATGTTAAGTGTGAAATATTCTCCTGAGAGTCTTTCTAGCTTCTGTCATTCAGATGCCACATATGTGGTGATTGTTGTAAATCACCAGGATGAGAGACATCACTACCAGCTTCCACCTCCCCAGATCTCTTCATTCTACTTTGATCTTCCAGGTATAATAAAAATGTTCAGGTTTCCTGTGGAAGTTTCTTAGAGCGAGTGATTATTTCTTAAGAAGAGTTTAATCAGCTTCAGTTATTTGGTTCATTAGGAAGGTAAACAACTACAATTGAAGTCCTCATGTGGGAGTCTTTCTTCGTGTGAGCCACCATGTTGAGGCATGGAGACCATGGGATATAGGGTCCTGTTTGTAAGGTGATGCTATCTTTTGCCCTCTTTACCCTTAGGTTTTTCTAGACATGAAACGCTTAAAAGTGACTTATGCAGTCACTTTTAGCCAGGAGGCAATTCATAAAATGCCTCGATAGAAAATATTAGAGAGAGATGAAGGATTGTACCAGGTTAAGGATCTTTGCAGGTTACCTGGTGCCCAAGATCATCCCTTCAAGGCCATCACACTGGGCTGTCCCTCAGATTGGGTAACTTTACTTCCTCTTGACCTCCATAGCACTTACACACTGTAGTGTAATTGCCTGTTTTCTAGTCTCAGGGCTTAGCACAGTGCCTGGTGCTTAGTAGGGGTTCCATCAACTTTTGATGAGTGCCCATGAGAATAAGTATCATCAATGATATTAAGTAAAAGGACACGCAAGAAAGAACTGGCCGAGACAATATTTAAAATAAAGAGGAGTCATTGCTGTGAAGAGAGTTATTGCTAAACCCTGCATTTATTTTAGTATCAGCAGACCTACACCCCTCCCGTGGCATAATTCCGTTTCAAAAAGTAAACTAGAATCAGCAACATCACAAAGAAATGATAAGAATAGGGGCCAATAGGGACAGGGGAAAGAAACTGCCCTAAACCCTTTTGTGTTTTTCATTCCTTGTTAATTCATTCCATTTCTCAAGTCACTTCCCCTTCTAAGGAAAGGAGCAGAGATGCTCGGCATCTTCCTTTGGTTGCTACTTATCCAGATGGGTGGTAAGTCCATTGGGCAAAGGTCATGTCTACACTCCACAGACCTTTCAAAAATATTTACTATCTAGGTGGGAGCCAATCCTTGCTCACAAATCTGACCCACCAGAGAAAAGAATGCAGAGTCTGCAGAAACCAACCACCTTCCCCTTGTGCTCAGGTTAAACTTTCCACCCCGATGCCAGACCACAGAGAACAGCCGCTTCCTGGAAATTGGGCAGCACCGAAATGACCTTCAGCCAGTGTTGCCCTGGAGACCGTTGCAGTGTGTTGGAACCAGCCACGGGGCTGCGTGTCTCCGTGCTGACCTCACTGAAGGGAAGGGCAAGGTCAGGAGGCCACGGAAGAGCCAATTCTGTGTGGTATGTTGATTTGGGCAAATATGTTTATACATCAAACCTCTGTTTTTGGTGCTTCCATTTTCTAACTAAATGCTCTCCTCTTCCAAATTGTAGCACAGTGGCTTCTGTTCTCAGAAGGTTTGTCCCACACCAAACGGGAGCAGTCTATGTGATTGAGACTCTGGGTTTGGGGAGACCAAACTCTCCATAGCAGTGATTTAGGCATTTGAGGGATAATCAGAAGCGAACAGTGGAACCTGGCTTGCCTTTCTTTCATGCCATGCCAAGACTCTCGTCCTCAACCCTTTGCCCTCCATACCCTTAAAAGAAGACTGGGAATTGGGGGCAGTGGCTCACACCCATAATCCCGGTGCTTTTTTGAGGCCAAAGTAGGACAGTCACTTGACGCCAGGAGTTTGAGACCAGCCTGGGCACCCAGTGAGACCCTGTCTCTACAAAAAAAAAAAAAAAAAAAAAAAAGCCAGGTGTGATGGCTTATGCCTGTAATCCCAGCACTTTAGGGGGCAGAGGCAGGCAGATCACCTGAGGTCAGGAGTTGGAGTCCAGCCTGGCCAACACGGCGAAACCCCATCTCAATTAAAAATACAAAAATTAGCCAGTTGTGGTGGTGCGTGCCTGTAATCCCAGCTACTCGGGAGCGTGAAGCAGGAGAATTGCTTGAACCTGGGAGGCAGAGGTTGCAGTGAGCCGAGATCGTGCCATTGCACTCCAGCCTGGGCAACAGAGCGGGACTTTGTCTCAAAAACAAAACAAAACAAAACAAAATTACCCAGGTCTTTTGGCATGTGCCTGTAGTCCCAGCTACTCAGGAGGCTGAGGTGGTAGGATCAATCGAGGCCAGGAGTTCAAGGTTAGAGTGAGCTGTGATCTCACCACTGTACACCATCCTGGGCAACAGAGTGAGACCCTATCTCAAAATAAATAAATACATACATACATACTTTCATAAAATAAAAAATAAAATTTCACTTCTACTGCCCTTGCCTCAAATAAGAACTTGGAATGCTCAGCCTAGTTGGCTGTAATATGGGCTTTTAGGTGCTTAGGATTTGTACTTAAGGAACAAAGAACTTGCTATTTACCAGGTAGTAAAAAACACTTCAAGTCCTTAAACATTATTTTTACTGTAAGGGAAGCACTTGTCAGCCCCCCAGTCATTTCAGATATGATTTCCGAAAGGGACATTCTTTCATTCTTCTCTCCTTACAGGCATAAACATTCTGCATTTTAAACTGGAAACATACAATGTTATCTACTTCTGGTGTCTTATGTAACTTTCCAGGAATGCTGAAAGACTTTCCGGGCTCCGTGAGGTTGGGAATGGGGGAAAGGCAGAGGGGGCTGAAGGTGGGGGTTAGGGCAGACTCGAGGGACAAGGAAAAAATCCACTTTTTCCATACATCACTACATTGGCTGTTTGTGACAAGAAGTTATTGCAATTAAGATACAAGCCGGATGTGTGGGCTAAAAAACCTCAGCTGATATCACAAGCATTTATTGATAATGAAAACTTGGAGGAAGAGATCTGGAAAATTGTTGTCTTTAGTGGTTTCCTATGCAAGAGAACAAACCATATGGATTAATAAAAAAGTGCTCTACCTTATCTAGGAGAAGAAAAAACTGTTTATTTTGCTGCAAAAAGAATGTTTCTGTCAAGTCTTAAGTGTCAATCTTCTAGGTTAGGGCTTTACATTGCACACACCACCACATAAGTACATTGTCTTGCTTTAAACAATCATTTTGGCGTTGTTAAATGACCTGGCCAAACAGCCTCAGCTATAAGAATAAGGGATAAACATTCAGAGTAAATCAGCATCTATAAATCCTTGATCACGTGAGCCACTTTAACACAACCAAACCTGAATTAGCCTATCAGAATAGGTAATGACCCCTCTATACTTCATGAAGTAAAACGGGTTTCCTTTGAGAATATGCTATTTTCAAGCAAGACATTAGCAAGGAAATGCCTAAAATGTGTCCTGGAATATCTTTTGCAAATGCAATGAAAAGGTAATGGGAATAACAAGTGAAAAGAAGAACCCTCAAGGGACTAGTTTACCAGTACTATATAAGGCAGAAAATAAACCTTAGATAAACGCTAAGCAGAGAGTTAAAAATCTGGAAATATTAATATCATGCAGAGTAGAGATATAATAACAGAGTAGAGAAAGAGCATGAAGCTTTCTGGAGAGTTAAGCTTTAAGGTCTTTACTCAAAAACTAAATAGTGCATACAACGAGCCTTCATAAATATACACTCACCACATTCTTTCCTGTCTTCCTAAAGAAAGCACGTTGGAAATTACCATGTTTCCGGTTTTTCTTGGGTGACCATATCAGCATATTTTCTGCATCATCCTGTATATCGTGACTAAAAATGTCAGGTAAACTTACCACCAATAAAACAAAAACTGGATACAGATGGCTCCTCGAAAGGCACTAATCTACACACAAATATTGGTCTGCTAGGTTATTGATACCTATGAACTCAGGATTATACAAATGGGATGTTTATCTCACTAGGACTTTGATGGAACTTAAAACAGCTCAAATCTAGTCTGCATCAGCTCACATACTCTCTAGAAATCACTCAGGTAACTTGTTTGAGTTGGAACAAACCTGAAATTACAATAAGAATTTAGGTTGTTTCTGGAGACCTTCCAATAAAAGCTGAGAGCCAGAGAATTCAGACGAGTGGCCACAGCTTGTGTCAATTCTAGTTGCAAAGTGGCCCATGTTGAGTTTACCTGAGTCATAGGAAAGAGTGATGCCCTCCTGGAAGATGAGATGCATACCTATGAGGAACAATGGTAAAGCTCCTTGGTCTCTGGAGAACTCCTTACCAGAAGGCACTCAGTGGAAAGGGCCAGTTCACACCATCTGCTCTTGGCCAATGGTGGGATGGTCTACTCTCTATTTTTGTTTTCTCTCCTGTCACCCACAGTCCTAATCAGGTAACCAGGTACAGTCTTCTGTCTGGATCTTGCTGACAAAGCTGTGTGTGCAATGGATGCATATGAAGAAAATAACTTTCTTAGACATAAAGAGATTCATGTATGTTGTAGGCAAATGAAAAGACCCAGTAACTGGCACACTGGGACTTAATTCAGTTGCATTCTGACTAGGACCTCTGTTTCCCTGGCAACAGCAGCTCTGCAGACATAAAACTGAATTCCCTCCAGTGTTATAGAGAAGTGCACATAAGTGACTGTACGGGGGCTTTTATCCGGGTATGCTTGCAAAATCTTCCTGCAGCTTCCCTCTAACAGGGGGAGAAAGAGGGGATTTATAATATTTTCTAGACATGGAACAAATAATTACACAGTTTAAAGGCCCTTATCCCAAGTGTTGTTGTTCTACTATTTCTGGAGTGTCTTTTAGAGGGTTCTTATGGAAGTTTCCAAAAACAAATTAACCATTAAACGAGTCAACCCATTAGTGCGACTCCTGCCATTGGTCACCTTCTATATATGTACGCACACAGGCATTCATATGTGGATCATACTCTTTGGAAAACATGGGAGAGAAGATTCCGCAGCCATTCGGTTTCTTACTTACTTTCACCTATGTAATACAATTTATAGAGAAGGAGTAGATGTCAATAAAACACCACTCTTTAATTCTTCCTACTCAATCCACTCCTTATTGGGTAAGGACCATTACGTAAAATCACACTTGTTCAATATGCTCTGCTTGCCTTCTCTAACCTCTAGTCTTGGGGATTAGAGAGGAATTTACTATCTTGCTTTTAATTTATTCTATTTAGTCTCCATTATCCCTGTGGTTACTTTTCTACTGCACCACAGGATACCAAAATTGGAAGCAACTTTAGATACTGTCTTCTCCAATATTCTTACCTAACTAAAGTACGCATGCCCTCTACCATCCATCATTCTGGATAGACATGTAATTTGCAGCATGATGCCCCCAGTGGTAGGGAATCTGCTCCCATTTTTAGCAGCTGTAATTTTTAGAGGGTCTTCCATGCATTGAAGGGCCTCTAGAAATTCACAGGCTCCAGACAGAGGCTCCCCATGGCACCAAGACACAAATGCAAGGCTTCCATCACCTTCAGGATGTAAATGCTGCTGCAGAAATAATCAAAGAAGGTATGATTGGAATCTATAAAGCCATGTGGCATGAGATTTTCTTTCTTTATGTTGTAGAGTGTTTTTTTTCCTTGTCGAAGAGAAAAGATTTCTCAGTATTAGTCATTAGGGAATTATAAGTGGAGGTGTGTGTTCTTGCTTCCTTCTGACCACAGAAATTTACATCTAGCATCAATCTCACCTGCCAAAAAGGGAAGATGCAAATTTTGCAAGATAAAAATGTCACCTCCACTCCATCCCACCTGGGTCAAAAATAATCATCTCCTCTTCTGCGTATGGTGACATCATTTTTGGAAGAAGTGGTGATTCCTCCTCTTGTATTGGAGTTAGTGGGGAGTGTGTGTTTCTCCTCCACTGGCCTGTCAGTATATTTAGAGTGAAACTCTGTTGACTGCTTGGTTGCAATTTCCCAACCTCCCTCACACACAGGCTCAGTAGCTAGCTTAGAAGAGTTTTCTTTCAAAGACCCACCAGCTTTCTCTAGGAGAAGTGGTAGTGGATTCCAGGAACCTCCAGGGTAATGAGAGAATGCACCCACCCAGCCCTGCAGGGCCAGAATCGCCGTGATAGACTCCAGCCTTTCTGGAAGGGAGGAGGGACAGAACAGCCTTGAGGGTTTAAAGAGATGCTTATTGAAGTAATAGGCAACTGATCAGGGTAACACAAAATATTTTCATGATTTTAGTATACTACAGATAATTTTGCTCTATTATCAAAAAAATTAAGCTGTAATGGGCTTAGTGGTATTTTAGTATTTTTACTCATGAATGATTATATGGAAGGTGACATGCCTAGAAAGAGGCAGGAATGAGTCAACATTTTGTTTTCCCTCCATATGAAATAAGTCAGGGGGAAAAAAGAAGTAAAATTGATATTTACATAACATGACATCCTTAATTGCAAATATTTTTGTTTTAAAAAATATGTGGACTTCTAATGTGTATGTACAACTGTGAACTAAAAGGTAGAAACTATAAGAATGAGCACCCTCCCTAACATAGACCAGAAAAAGAGGAAGCTCAGACAGATCTGCAAGATTGGAATCAGAGTGATTCTACTCCATTTCTGGGTAGTCTAAGGCTTAACCCCAAACGCAAACAATTGTAATCTCAGAAAGTTTCACACTGAAAGACGCAGGTTGAATTTCACTCCCTGGAGAATGACCAAATTGGAAAGGATGAGAGGATTTGCCGTCACTCTAAAAATGAATCTCATTGGTTTGGTCTCCCGGCCTCTAAAAGGCATCAATTGTGTCCATAGAATTTGATGGTAACTCCACATTGCAGCCAGTATAGAAAATGTATTGTCTAATAAAGCATCCAGAAATGAGCTCAATGTGCAGGCTCTTCAACATCCTATCAGTTTGATCAATGTTGCATTTGGATCTTTTCCTAAGCCATTGACTCAAGGAGAGACATCCCTAAAGTGGAGAACATACGTATACAGGGAAACACACAGGAGGACACACATTTATATTCACTTTCTAAACATAAAACAGCACAACGGGAGAAACAATGTCTGACAAAAGAGTTTATGCTTTGTTTTGAGAGACGCATGTTTCTGATTGTTTATTTTTGCTTTCATTGAACACTGTGTTCTTCTCTGGTTATGATCTATGAGAAACAAGGTTTTTTCTTTTTTTATTCAAGCATTTGATATGCAGACTTGATTTCTGCCAAAGACAGAAAGTAAGGAAGAAAATAGGATTCATTTTTTGTAAGAAATCTTCAGGATGATCTTGGACTGAGAGTTACCAGAGGGTTCACTTTTAGTGGCTTTAGGAAAAGACATCCATCTACCTCAGTTTGGTTTTGGAGGGTAGCAGACCCATCTACCGACATCATGATTATAAGAAAGAATCTAGAAGAGGCTGGGTGCAGAGCCACACACTTGTAATCTCAATGCTTTGGGAGGCTGAGGTGGGAGGATCCCTTGAGGCCCGGAGTTTGAGTCCAGCCTGCCCAACACAGGGAGACCCTATCTCTACAAAAACATTTTAAAAAAATTAGCCGGGCATTGCGGTGCACACCTGTGGTCCTGGCTCCTCAGGAGGCTGAAGTGGGAGGATCATGTCAGCCTGGGCATCAGAGCAAGTCCCTGACTAAAAAAAAAAATTCTTGGCCAGACGTGGTGGCTCATGCCTATAATCCTAGCACTTTGGGAGGCCGAGGCGGGTGGATCACTTGAGGCCAGTAGTTCGAGACCAGTCTAGGTAACATCTCTGTTAAAAATACAAAAAATTAGCCGGTTTTGGTGGTGCATGCCTGTAATCCCAGCTACTCAGGAGGCTGAGGTGGGAGGATTGCTTGAACCTGGGAGGCGGAGGTTACAGTGAGCTGAGATCACGCCACTGGGCTCTGGTCTGGGCGATACAGCAAGACTCTGTCTCAAAAGATAAAAAATTTAAAAAATTGACGATTTTCCTGAGATGATTGTGAATATAAAATTAGGTTATATATGAAAAGCCCCTTTGCAAGTTAAAAGTGCTATAAAAATGGACTATACTATTATAAATAGGCTTCCTTGTAACTGACTGTCAATTTGACATTTTGTAAAACCTAAGGTTACTATAAAACAAAAAGCTAAGTAGCAGTCTTAAAAGTATATTTCCACAATTATCTTGAAACCAGAGTTTCTAAACCTTTTTACATGAAAATTTATTAAAGAAAATTTCTTTCTATTATGTTTTTCTTCCATCTTTATCCCACCAAAGAAGTTAGAACATTTCTCGGATATGCTATTTCCAAAGCCCGCGTGGCCACCAGCCAAGACTGTATTTATATGGACCAAATTCTCTAAGAATGGTATTATGTACGTGTGAATTTCCAACCCATTCTCCTCTCAGTGTGTAATAAATTCATTCAGAAGGAGTTTTATTTCATAGAATTGACTTCTTCATAGGTCTTCATGGAAGCAGCATTGAATATTATCTCCTTTCGCTTAGGGGAAGGGAAATGAAATATATTCTGCCAATAGATAGTTATATAATAAAAAGGCAGTTTTTAAAAAAAAAAAAAACAAGGCATTGGGAACTGGGAAAAAATATGGGTCTCTAGATGTTTTGACAATGTAATGGCACAAAATGAGGGATTTTTTTTGTCCTGTTACGTATTTTATATTTTATTTTTTAGAGCAGTTTTAGTTTTAAAGAAAAATTGAACACAAAGTACAGAAAGTTCCTATACACCTTTTCTATTATTAACATTTTGCATTATTATGGTATGTTTGTTACAGTTAATGAGCCAATATTGATACACTGTTATTAACTAAAGTCTGCAATTTATCTTTGTGTTTATATTCCATGGGGTTTGACAATTGCATAATGACAGGTGTCCACCATTACATTATCATACAGAATAGTTTCACTACTCTAAAAATCTTCTATACTACACCTATTCTTTTCTCTCTCTCCCTGTACCCCTGGCACCCACTGATCTTTTTACTGTCTCAATAGTTTTGCCTCTTCCAGTATGTCACATAATTAGAATCATTACAGTATGCCGCCTTTTCAAGCTGGCTTCTTTCACTTACCAATATTCCTTGAAGATTCGTCCATGTCTTTTTGTGGCTTGGTAGCTCATTTTTTAAAAGCACTGAATAACATTCCATTGTATGGATGTCCCACAGTTTGTTCATTTACCAATTTAGCAATTGTGAATAAAACTTCTATGAACAGTTGCGTGCAGGTTTTTATGTGGACATACATTTTCAACGCATTTTGGTAAATACTTAGGAGTATGATTGTTGGGTTGTATGGAAAGACTATGTTTAGCTTTAGAATAACTGCCAAACTGTCTTCTAAAGTAGTTGTATGAGAAAAATATTTTAAAATATTTTTGGAAGCAGCAGAAAACATATATCGCATTTTATGAATTCAGCATTTATGTATTGCATGCTAGTAAAGATAAATTAGATAATAATCTATAATTTTTGTGCTTATATTGAGGAAAAGCCTAATACTATTCATACATGAAGAAAAGATAAATACATATTATTTTATTATATAACCCTCAATTTAACCAACCAACACCACTGCATGCCTACCTCCTGGAACAGTCCCTGGCACAGCGTGAGCCAATGATGAATGACTCTCTATTTGCCACTATTATTCCTGTCTCGGTTTTTATCTTATCCCATGTCCTTCCTGAGTCTCAAAGTCCTTCAGCCTCCAATAAAAGCCCCCCAAAGAGTCCCTTGCCACTGTCATGGCCTAACATCTGTGCCAGAGAGCCATAAGAAGCACAAGGACACCTCTGCGTCCTTATGCTATCAGTCTTCCTCTCTGGTTGGGCTGCATCCATGTCCTTGACCTAAGGCAACATTGCTCCCAGGGCTGCATTGCTGTTGCTGTGAGGATCAACCTTTTAGTTTGTCACAGTACTCAGCAGCCCCCACACCACCTTCCCCAATCACCCAGAGACCATATTATCCCCCTCCTCAAAGAATGCATAACATTTTCTGAAAGCAGAACTTTCTTTCCTCTTCCTCCTCCTTTCTATCTTGCCCTTTTTCCTTAATTAATTGACTGTAACCTCCCAGAGTGATAGGCATAAATAGAGCACTGGTCTGTTTAGAAGAGCCCTGAATTTTAAAGAGATGAACTAACCAGAAAAGTACAGGAGAATGTTCTAAGTGAGATACGTCATCAGGATGTGCTCAGACCACAGGAGAACGGCTGAAAGTTCCAGGGTGTAAGTGGGAGGAGAGGGCAAGATTTCGGCTGAGTCTTGTGGTGTGGGTAAACCTTGAGGTCTGCTTAACAGTTGGGGCTGTGGAGGGTGAACTAGAGTGAGAAGTCAGGCCTCCTGATTAACATATACCTGCAGAGGAAGTTACAAAAGTAGCTGGCTAGGAATAGGTGGTGATGTGGAGGAAGCAAAGAACAAATGAGAATGTTCTCCTGAGGCCTCACCAAAAGAGCAGAGGCCCAGCACTACTGGGAGCCACTGGGATTGGGCAGGCTGCTTGCCGGGACCCCTGCTGCCTCGAGGTGTGTCTTCGTCCATGTGTGAGGGTTGCTTAGTCTCCAATTTTGCCTGAGGCAAATCCTGCATTCTGTGAAGACAAAACCTCAAGATTCTGCAAAGCTCAGCATGCAGGAATAAGGTGATCACTTGCTGAAATACAAACCAAAAGGAAATATCCTCGTTTTCTTCAAGGGGAAGAACCAAACCAATGCTTTAGGTTCCTGAACCAAGCAACGTCAACATCCCTAGGGATGCTGTTAGAAATGCAAATTTCCAGCTCCATCACAGACTTCGGAAATCAGAAACTCTGGAGGTGGGGCTCCGTCATCTTTGTTTAACAAGTTCTCCAGGAAATTCCGAGACCTGCTAAAAGTTTTGGAACTACCGCCTTAGACAACTATAATTGACAATGAGAGGATGACTGAAATTTTAATCAAGACTTTGTTTCTGTCAGTAATAAACCATATCCTAACTAAAGAGAAAACACATCTAATTATAGGAATGGGGCAATTTCAGGATGTTAGTGCAACTGGGACTAAGTAACACGTTTAAAGTAATCTAATCTATTGCTTCAGTTTCTGGAGATAAAGCAAATCTTCTGGATCCATGAAAGAGCATAAAAGCGTAATAAAGGGCACTGAACTGTAAAAATTTACAGTTCTTTATTTATACATGTTGACAGTTCAGTTGTAAATGTTTATAGCACCTCATAGACCAAAGGAGAAAGCACACAGACCCACGTGAAAGACACACAGTCACAAAGGTTTGAGAAATGTTGGCGGTGCTGGGGGCTCACCACAATAAAGCCAGAGAAAGGGGGCGAAGGGCCAAGCCGTATTGATAAATATTTACAAGCAAGTCATTGAAGAATGAGAGAGGTTCCATTATCATCAAAAGGCAACAGGTCATTTTTGAATAGTGGCATCTGAAACTGGAAACAAATTTGTTGCTGAAATACAAATTGGAGGAAATTGCTTTTGTGGGAAAACATTTCCTCTCCTCAGTGGATTTCTCTTTTGTGTTCTGCCTGTTCTGATCGTGGAATTTCAGAGGCAACTGGGATCTCCTGATAGGGGACTGGCTTCTGTTCCAAGCTCTCCTCAGTGGCCTTAGGCAAGGTGCCTTAGTCCTGTGTCTGCTTTTTCTCATGGAAGATAATGGCCTTACTAAGCCTCTCTGACAGATGTTGTAAGATCTGTAGGTGATTGTTTCTAAACGCAGACAATTGGGGTAAAAGAGGGAGAGAGAGCCTAAGGAGTTCACTAGGATTATCCCAATCTTTCCCTTCCCTTTTCACAGGAATTTCATAATTATGAAGACATTAAATCATGGCCTTGAGCTCGACACTGTTGGGAATTTTTTTAAGGTAGAAAGAAGTGTGTGACTCTGAAGAATAT
The DNA here is from genome assembly GCF_000001405.40 of Homo sapiens. Classification (NCBI taxonomy): domain Eukaryota; kingdom Metazoa; phylum Chordata; class Mammalia; order Primates; family Hominidae; genus Homo; species Homo sapiens. Next base: position 12,528,456 of record NC_000006.12, on the reverse strand, counting down.
GAACAACAGGAAACAAAGACAGCCTGTGCTGTTCTCTAAACACGGCAATTACCAAACGCTGGCATAGTGCACAAGGGACTTTTTAATTTAAAAGTGCCTGTTAAGTTCACTTTTTTGGAATTTATCTTTCAGAGACTTGGAGAAGAATGATGTCACAGAATGAGGAGCAAAGGAAATAGGAGAGGTTTGCTGGTTCACAGTATGGTTTAGCTAGGAACTTCGAGAAGATAAGAGAATATACAGCAAAATACTCGAAGATTAGTATGAGAGCATTAATCATACATGACTTAAGTACTAAATTGAACTGAATCAAAAATTTTAAAGTCTGTTCTTCAAAAGACACTATTAAGAAAGGAAGAGCTGGCCGGGCACGATGGCTCATGCCTGTAATCCCAGCACTATGGGAGACTGAGGCGGGCAGATCACTTGAGGTCAGGAGTTCGAGACCGGCCTGACCAACATGGTGAAACCCCGTCTCTACTAAAAGTACAAAAATTAGCCGGGCGTGGTGGCACTCGCCTGTAATCCCGGCTACTACGGAGGCTGAGGCAGGAGAATCGCTTGAACCCGGGAGGCAGAGGTTGCAGTGAGCCGAGATAGCAACACTGCACTCCAGCCTGGGCGACAGAGAGAGACTCTGTCTCAAAATAAAAATAAATAAATAAATAAATAAGAAAAGCTTAGATTGAGCAAAACTATTTGCAAAATGTGTCTGGTGAAGGATATCTAGAATCCTGAATATATTAAAAAAAAAAACTCTTACAACTTAAAAATAAAAAGACAACTCATTTAAAAATGGCTCAAGATTTAAATGGACACCTCACAGAAAAGATATTTGAATGTCCAATGGATATGCAAAAAGTGTTCAAAAGCAATAGTCATCAGAGAAATTCAAGTTAAAACCACAATGAGTTATCACTGAATATCTACCAGAATGACTAAAATCAAATTTAAAAGACTCACTAAATGACGAGGATGAGGAGCAACCATCAAGATGGTTGTGAGAGTATTAACTACTATAACCACACTGGAAAAAGAGCTTCTATTTTATAAAAGTAAATATACACTTGCTCTACGACCCACCAATTCCATTTGTAAGTGTTTACACCAGGGAGATGAAAAGGTAAGTCTATAAAGGCTTGTACAAAAGTGTTCATAGTTTTATTTATAATAGCCTTAAATTGGAAATATCACAGATGTCTATCAGTAGGATAATGTATAAACAAATGGTAGTATATTGATATGGTGAGATACTGTTTAGAGATAAGATGGGACAAATTACTGATACATGCAGCAACATGGATGGATTGCAAAAATCCTGATCAATGAAAGGAACCTTGCAAAAAAGTATACAACTGCATGATTCCTTTACATGAAGTTCTAAAACAGGCAAACAAATCTATGTTGGAAAAGATCTGAATGGTGGCTTTGTCTGAGAGACTGGACATATCTATTTACTGGTAATGAGCATGAGCGTGAGAAAACTTTCTGGGGCTGATGGTAATATTTTGGATCTTGACAGGGGTTCAGATGGCACAGATGTATGCATCTGTCAAGCTCAGTAAATGTGCACCTAAAATCTGTCCATTTCATTGTATGTAATTTTACCTCAGTAGAAAAATAACCCTGTAAACAAATGGTAAACTCTTTTCTTTTTTTTTTTGAGATGGAGTTTCACTCTTATTGCCTAGGCTGGAGTGCAATGGCGCGATCTTGGCTCACCGCAACCTCTGCCTCCCAGGTTCAAGTGATTCTCCTGCCTCAGCCTCCTGAGTAGCTGGGATTACAGGCATGTGCCACCACGCCTGGCTAATTTTGTATTTGTAGTAGAGATGGGGTTTTTCCTTGTTGGTCAGGGTGGTCTCAAACCCCTGACCTCGGGTGATCTGCCTGCCTTGGCCTCCCAAAGTGCTGGGATTACAGGTGTGAGCCACCATGCCCAGCTCAAATGCTGAACTCTTATAATATACACCCTGAAGTATTTAGGGATGAAGTACATGAATGTCTGCAATCTATTTTAAGATGAATTAGAAAAAACAGTAGATCGATTTGTAGCAGGACGAGCCGCAGACAAAACCCCTCAGACACAGAGTTAAAGAAGGAAGGACTCTATTCGGACGGGAGCTTCAGCAAGACTCACATCTCAAAAACTGAGCTTCTCGAGTGAGCAATTCCTGTCCTTCTTAAGGGCTTACAACTCTAAGGCGGTCCGTGTGAGAGGGTCGTGATTGATTGAGCAAGCAGGGAGTACATGACTGGGGGCTGCATGCTCCGGTAATTAGAACGGAACAGAACAGGACAGGGATTTTCACAGTGCTTTTCTATACAATGTATGTAATTTATAGATAACATAACCGATTAAGTCAGGGGCCGATCTTTAACTACCAGGCCCAGGGTGTGGTGCCGAGCTGTCTGCTTGTGGATTTCATTTCTGTCTTTTAGTTTTAACTTCTTCTTTCTTTGGAGGCAGAAACTGGGCATAAGACAATATGAGGGGTGGTCTCCTCCCTTAGATTGACATACGGTCTGAGGTTTGGATGGATGGATATGTAATAAAGCAAGTACAATTTGCTCCTTGTTATCCACAGGGGATTGGTACCATGACCCCCAGGATACCAAAATCCGTGGATGTTCAAGTCCTTTAAATATAAAGTATTTGCAAATAAACTTTGCACATATTCCCCTACACTTTAAATCATCTCTAGATTGCTTATAATACCCAATACAATATGATGCTATGTAAACAGTTCTTACACTGTATTATAATTTGTATTACTTCTATTGATGTATTATTTTTTTCCAAATGTTCTTGATCCTCCATTTGTTGAATCTATGATGCAGAACCTGCAGATACAGAAGGCAAACTGTGCAGCAAAATGGGAAAAGTAGAATCTAGGAGGAGAGCATAAGAAATGTTGAGAGAAAAATTTGTGTGTATGAATCACCTGAGAGACTTACACAAAACATAAATTCCTGCATCTTATCTCCAGATATTCTGAGGGTGGAGCGCAGGATGCGGTGTCATCTCAGCCCTTCAGGCCCATCATGAACAGTGACTGAGAACCACTTTCCATGCGGTATGGTTCAGGTGTAGGCTAAAAATCTAAAATTATCCCATGGCTGTTTTTCCACTTTACAACCCAACACAAAGCATATTATAAAAAGGCTTAGGGTTAAATTATTGAGTAAACTTTGAAAATATTTTTAAGCATTACCAAAATGTCCCCTGAAATGTTGTATTGGGTCTTTTCTTTTAAGCAGTAGATATTTAACTTCTTATAAAACAACAGAGTGCTTTGCTCTGAGATTTGGGTACATTACTTATTAAGGCTCATTACAGCTTGGTATGGTAGGTTTCATAATGCCCATTTTATAGGTGAAGACATTGAGGCTCAGAGAAGTTAGGGGAACTTTTCTTAGGTCACAGATTCAGGGCCAGCTTCGTGGGCTGGTGGCCAGGGCAGCTGCACTGGGTGTAAGGCTCAGAAGGACCCTGTCCTTAGAATCAATGCTCTGTGGTACCTTCTTAAAATTCTTAATTATTTTATCATTGAATTTGCGTTTTGTAAGAGAAGTCTGAAGGTACAATGGAGTGTGAGCCAGGGACTTTGAATCTCAGCTCAGAAGTGGTCCCGCCTCCCATCATCCACTTGGATGCCACTGGATTTCCCTACTTTCCCATTCCTGCAATGGCTATGACTTTACAACCAGAGAGGACCCAAATAAACACAATCAGAAATGACAAAGGAGACATTACCACCAACCCCACAGAAATACAAAAAACCCTTCAGAGACTATTACGAACATCTTTATGCACACAAACTAGAAAACCCACAGTAAATGGATGAATTCCTGGAGACATACAACCTCCCAACATGGAACTGGGAAGAAATTAAAACCCTGAACAGATCAATAATGAGTTCTCAAATTGAATCAGTAATAAAAAGCCTACCAACTAGAAAAAGCTCTGGACCAGATGGATTCACAGCCAAATTCTACCAGACATATAACGAAGAGCTGGTACCATTCCTACAGAAGCTATTCCCCAAAAATTAGGTAAAGGGACTCCTCCCTAACTCATTCTATGAGGCCAGCATCATCCTGATATCAAAATCTGGCCGACACAGTGAAAAAAGAAAACTTCAGGCCAATATCCTTGTCATAGATACTAAAATTCCCAACAAAATACTAGCACACCAAATCCAGCAGCACATCAAAAAGCGAATCCACCACAATTAAGTAGGCTTTATTCCTGGGATGCAAGGTTGGTTCAACATACGCTAATCAGTATATGTGATTCATCACATAAATATAACTAAAAACAACAACAACAACAACAAAAACACACATGATCACCTCAATAGATGCAGAAAACACTTTTGGTAAAATTCAAAATACACTCATGTTAAAAACCCTCACAAACTAGGCATTGAAGGAACATAGCTCAAAATAATAAGAGCCATCTGTGACAAACCCACAGCCAATGTTATACTGAACAGGCAAATCTGGAAGCTTTCCCCTTGAAAACTGGCACAAAACAAGCATGCCCTCTTTCATCACTCCTATTCAACATAGTACTGAAAGTCCTAACAAGAGCAATCAGGCAAGAAAAAGAAATAAAAGGCATCCAAATAGGAAGAGAGAAGTCAGATTATCTCTGTTTGCAGACGGTATAATTCTATGCCTAGAAAACCCTGTAGTCTCTGCCCAAAAGCTCCTTAAGCTGATAAACAACTTCAGCAAAGTTTCAAGATACAAAATCAATGTACAAAAATCAGTGGCATTTCTACATACCAACAACATCCAAGCTGAGATCCAAATCAAGAACACAATCCCATTTACAATAGCCACAAAAAAGAATAAAATAAAATACCGAGGCATACAGCTAACCAGGGAAGTGAAAGATCTCCACAACAAGGATTACAAAACACAGCTGAAAGAAATCAGAGATAACACAATCAAATGGAAAAACATTCCATGCTCATGGATAGAAAGAAATAATATTGCTAAAATGACCATACGGCCAAAAGGAATTTACAGATTCAGTGTTATTCCTATCAAACTACCAATAACATTTTGTACAGAATTGGAAAAAACTATTCTAAAATTCATATAGAACCAAAAAAAGAATTTGAAGAGCCAAAGCAATTCTAAGCAAAAAGAATAAACCTGGAGGCACTACATTACCCAACCTTAAACTATACTACAAGGCTGCAGCAACCAAAATAGCATGAGACTGGTATAAAAAACAGACATATAGACCAATGGAATAGAATAGTGTGCCCAGAAATAAAGCCACATACCTACAACCATCTGATCTTTGGCAAAGTTGACAAAAACAAGCAATGGGAAAAGGACTCCCTATTCAATAAATGGTGCTGGGATAACTAGCAAGCCATGTACAGAAGATTGAAACTGAACCCCTTTCTTTGACCACATACAAAAATCAACTCAAGATAGATTAAAGACTTAAACATAAAACCTAAAGCTATAAAAACCCCAGAAGAAGACCTAGGAAATACCATTCAGGACATAGGTCCTGGCAAAGATTTCATGATGAAGATGGCAGAAGCAATAGCAATAAAAAGACAAATTGACAAATGGGACCTAATTAGACTAAAGAGCTTCTGCATAGCAAAAGAAACTATCAACAGAGTAAACAGGCAACCTACAGAATGGGAGAAAATATTAAGAAACTGTGCATTTGACAAAGATCTAATATCCAGAACCTATAAGAAACTTAAAAAACTTAACAAGCAAAAAGCAAGCAACCTATTAAAAAAGGAGCAAAGGACATGCACAGACACTTTTCAGAAAAAGACATACACATGGCCAACAAGCATATGAAAAAGTGCTCAAGATCACTAATCATTAGAGAATGCAAATCAAAACCACAATGAGATAACCTCTCACACCAGTCAGAATGACTGTTACCAAAAAGTCAAAAAATAACACGCTGGTGAGGCTGCAGAGAAAAGAGAATGATTACACACTGCTGATGGAAATGTAAACTAGTTCAGCCACTATGGAAAGTACTTTGGAGATTTTTCAAAGAACTTAAAACAGAGTTACCATTCAACCCAGCAATCCCATTACTAGCTGTATACCCAAAGGAATATAAATCGTACTACCATAAACACATATGCACATGTATGTTCATTGCATTACTATTCACAATAGCAAAGACGTGGAATTAACTTAGATGCTTGACTTAGATGCCCATAAATAGTAGACTGGATAAAGAAAATGTGCTATATACTGTGGAATACTGCGCAGTCATAAAAAAAAGAACAAGATTATGTCCTTTACACCATCATGGATGGAGCTGGAGGCCGTTATCCTGAGTGAATTAATCAGGAACAGAAAACTAAATACTGCATCTTCTTATTTATAAGTGGGGGCTAAACATTGAGTGCACATGGACACAAAGAAGGGAGCAATAGTCACTGGGTCCTACTTGAAGATGGAGGGTGAGAGGAGGGTGAGGATTGAAAAGCTACCTATTGAGTACTATGCTTAGCACCTGGGTGTCAAAATAATCTGTATACTGCAAACCCTGGCAACATGAAATTTATCCACGTAACAAACTCATACATGTACCTCTGGAACCTAAGATAAAAGTTGGAAGAAAAAAAAGAATATGTCTCACAAAATAAAGTAAAATGAAATAAATAAAAAGTAGATACATATAAGATTAAAACGTAAATTTAAAAATTTCCCAGCTGGGTGCGGTGGATCATGCCGGTAATCCCAGGATTTTGGGAGGCCAAGGTGGGTGGATCATGAGGTCAGGAGATCGAGACCTTTCTGGCTAACATGGTGAAACCCCGTCTCTACTAAAAATACAAAAAATTAGCCGGGCATGGTGGCAGGCGCCTGTAGTCCCAGCTACTCAGGAGGCCGAAGCAGGAGAATGGCGTGAACCCGGCAGGTGGAGCTAGCAGTGAGTCGAGATCACTCCAGCCTGGGCAAAAAAGTGAGACTCTGTCTCAAAAAAAAAAAAAAAAAATCCCTCATAGCAGAAATAACTAATTATAACATTTTGAATAAAAATATTCTATTTTCCACAGTAAAAATAAAAAGAGAAGTCCTAGTAATAAACCCAAGAAATATATACAAAACCAATAAAATAAAACCATAAAAATGTAGTGACAGATATTTAAAAAGACTCAAGTAATTACCCGTGTCTTGGATGAGAAGATTCACTTTTGTAAAATAATTGTTTTTCTCCAAATTATTCCATGCAATTAATATAACCCTAATTGAAATCTCAATGGGATTTTTCATGATACTTGATAAGCTGACTCACAATTTCATCAAATAAGTTTATAAAAGTAACCGAGAGAATTATTTAAAAGAAGAGTGAACTTGCATTACTAGATATAAGAACATGTCATTAAGCTGTAGAAATTAAAGCATTGTGGTAATGACACAAAATATAAAAATATATTAGGGCAAAAGGCTGAGAGACCAGTAGCAGACTATGTATATATGAGGTTGTAGTTTATTATTCAGCAGCACTTCACATAATTGGGGAAATGAAAACTATGCAATATAAGAGCTTTGACCATTGCCTATGAATGATAAAAAAGATAGGACCCTCCTACTTCACATCATATACAACATGCATTCCCAATGGCTTATGGAGAAACAATATAGAAAAATTTTTAAATCTATGGCTAGGCCAGTCTAAAGCATAAGAAAAAATCCAAAAGCTTTGTATGTCAGACAAAAGATTGATGGATGGACAGAATTCATACAGATCAATTAACAAATCTATGAAAATAGACGAAAATGCAGGTATTTGTCAAAACAAAGGAATAGACATATCAGGCAAAAACAAAAGATGGTTGATAGCTCTAGAATTAAAAATCAATATGTCTGGAATTAATAATTAAAGCAACAAATATCATATTTTACCACTAGAATTGAAAACATTTAAAAGATAAAATCAATTGTGCATGAGTATATGCAAAAACAGGCACTTTTATTGAAAGTGCTAATGAGTAATTTTAGAATGTAATTCTGTGCAGTGTCTATCAAAAATGAAGGAATGCATACCCCTTCTCCCAGCATCCTACTTTTAGGAAGCGTATTCTACAAAAAATGATTCTGTCACACGAATGCAGTATTTTTAATTAATTAATTAATTTTAAAAGATGGGGTCCCGCTATGTGCTCTGGCTGGTCTTGAATTGCTGGACTCGAGTGATCCTCCAGCCTCGGCCTCCCACAGTGCTGGGATTACTGGTATGAGCCACCACACCCAGCTCTAATTTATTTTTTAATAGCAATGAATTAGAATCAGCCTGAATAGCTATCAATAAGTAAATCACAATATATTTACTCATGAAATGTTTTACAGGAATTAAACAGATTAAGGCAGACCTTACATATCTACATGAAAACTTCTATGAGTCAGATTGGTAAAGAGAAAATCAAGCTGCAGAATAATACATATGATATAGTCGTACCATAGACGGGGTATAATTTATTATTTTTTTCAAAAACTGACACTCAATTGTACGTTAAGAAGCACAGGAGGGAAATGCGAGATGCATAGTAAGACACTTACAGTGCTCCTGGGGAGGGGAATGGAATTTAGGATGGAGAATGCGTGGGGACGTGACATGGGAGGTTCATAAAGGAAATGGTTGAATAATTCAATATCTTCTGAATATTCTACACTGAAAATCAGGTTATGCATAATATATAATTGTATAATACATAATTATAGAATTTAAAAATTAAAAAAGAATTATGGCTCAGGCATTAGCATGGATTTGGGGCTGCAGTGAGATGGCGCAGGTGAACAAAAGTGAAGCAGTGAGACCACTTAGAGGAGTACCTCAAAGCTGAAGTCACAGATGTGTATGTTGTTTATGGTGTGAAGTAGGAGGTTTCTATCTTTTTCATCAAATTCATAGGCAATGGTCAACACTCATTTATTGCATAGTTTGTCATTTCCCCAATTATGTGAAGTGCTGCTAGCACGTAATCTTCCCTTGCCCAGACTAGGGAGTGAGGATGACCACTTCTCAAAATAGACAAATTCAAAAGTTATGAAGAAGACAATATTGAAAGGACTTGGTGATTGATTTAGATCTGGGTGGACAGGGAGTCAAAAATGATTCCAGCCTTCTGGCAATTCCTCTCTGTGCTCCTTCGTTGCCTCATTTCATATGTTCTCCATCCCAAATTTGCTTCCCAGAAGCATTGCTATTAAACATTTATTATGCATCCTTTGAGTCTTTCACTCTACTTTTGATGCATTTTAACACGTGGGATTATACCCTATGAATCATTTTTGCGAACTGATTTTTCATTTAATAAGATGCTTTGGAGAAGTCTTTGTTTCTTTTTTCTTCTATCTGTCTTTCTATCTATCCATCTATCTATTTATGCTTCTCTTTCTCTCCCTGTCTGTCTCTCTCTCTTTGAGAGACAGGTCTTGCTTTGTTACCCAGGCTGGAGTGCAGTGGCATGATCATAGTTCACTGCAGCCTTGAACTCCTGGGCTCAAGGGATCCTCCTGCCTCAGACTCCTGAATGCTGGGACTACAGGCTCATGCCACCACACCTGACTAATTTTTAAATTTTTTATAGAGAGGGAGGTCTTGCCATCTTGCCCGGGATGGTCTTGAATTCCTGGGCTCAAGCAATCCCCCTGCCTCCGATTTTCAAAGTGCTTGGATGACATGCGTGAGCCACCATGCCTGGCCTATGCTTCCCTTTGAATTCAGAGAATAGGGCATAAAACAAGAACAACCTATTCAATAATTGATGTCATGGATTCATGCAAGGGCTGTGTTCTTGGGCCCTGCCTTAAAGCCAGGAAAGGCAGGGTGGTTAAACTTCATAAATTTGATTTAGTAACCATGTTGAGTAGCCTATGTGAAAAAGTGGTGGGAACATTTTAATGTGGCTTATAATTTATTGTCACATGACCAGAAAAAGAAGTACACTCAACAAATATGTGCCTATGCCACACATTCTTCTAAGCTAACTCCAGAAACATTTTCATTATTTCCTATTTACTCAATTAGGGATAATTTCTCAAGGTTTTTTAGTGTTAGTCCAACTTCTCTTGATGATTTACACATGGTGGGAGAACACACATTTGATTCTATCTGCAAGTGTTTGTTTAATTTTTAATTTTTTTTAATTTTTATTTTTCATAGGTACATAGTAGGTGTATATATTTATGGGGTACATGAGATGTTTTGATACAGGCATGCAATGTAAAATAAGCACATCATGGAGAATGGGGTAGCTATTCCCTCAGGCATTTATTCTTTGAGTTACAAACAATCCAATTACACTCTTTATTTTAAAATGTACAATTAATTTAGTATTGACTACAGTCACCCTGTTGTGCTATCAAATAAATCTTATTCATTTCTTCTAACTATGTTTTGTACACATTACACATCCCCACCTCCCCCACATCCCAGCCCCTCACTACCCCTCTGGTAACAATTCTTCCACTCTCTATGTCCATGAGCTCAATTGTTTTGGCTTTTAGATCCCACAAATAGGTGAGCATGTGATGTCTGTCTTTCTGTGGCTGGCTTATTTCATTTAACATAATGATCTCCAGTTCCATCCATGTTGTTGCAAATGACTGGATCTCATTCATATTTATGGCTGAATAGTACTCCATTGTATATATGTACCACATTTTCTTTATCCATTCATCTGTTGAGGGACGCAGGTTGCTTCCAAATCTTAGCTACTGTGAATGATGCTGCAACAAACACAGGAGTGCAGATATCTCTGCTATATACTGACTTCCTTTCTTTTGGGTATATACCCCGCAGTAGGAATGCTGGATCATATGGTACCTCAATTTTTAGCTTTTTGAGGAACCTCCAAACTGTTTTCTACAGTAGTAGTACTCATTTACATTCCCGCCAACAGTGTGTGAGGGTTCCCTTTTCTTCGCATCCTTGCTAGTATTTGTTGTTTACCTAGCTTTTGGCCATAAGCCATTTTAACTGGGGTGAGAAAATATCTCATTGTAGTTTTGACTTGCGTTTCTCTGATAATCAATGATGTTGACCACCTCTTCATATGCCTGTTTGCCGTTTGTATGTCTTCTTTTGAGAAATGTCTGTTTAAATCTTTTGTCCATTTTTTGCTTGAATTATTAGATTTTTTTTCTATAGAGTTGTTTGTGTTTCTTATATGTTTCCTTTATCTATTTTGAGGAAATTACTACACTTCATTTATCTGACATTATTTGTGGAATAAGGTGTTTTCATCTATTGCATTGTAAGCCTTTAAACTCCAAAATAATATCAATATTTGTATTTTGTGTTCATGTGTAATCTATTTTTGTGTCTGTATTACTTTTAGGTTATAATTAATAATTACATACTTCTAGTTTCTGATCAATATAATAAGAAATTATAAAACTAAACTTGCTCAAATTTAATATTAACCAGCAGTCAGTGATACCCTGAGTGCTCACCAGATGAAGACCTATGAGCATTATCAGGTGCTTGGTTCAAAAGTTTTGCTTTTTCTTAATCTCATATTAGGAGCTATAGCCAGGAAAGTTGATGATAAAGAGGGGTTGAACTTTGAATAGTGGAGTTGACTATCTTTGCCAATACTGATGTAGCATGTATAATCTGCGTGCCTCCCGTACACTGATAATCACAATGTAAAGTTTTATCTTGTAATTACTGCCCAGGCTTTTTTTCCCCCATGGCTCCTTTAGGGCCACTAAGTAACAACGGCACCTATCAATCAGGTATAAGTAAGGGATAACAGAAGCAATAAGAGATTCAAAACAGAGAATCAGATCCTAGAGAAGCAAGCCCTATCTCTATCACAATCAAAAGGCATGGGAATCAGGAAGTCATTGTCCTGAACTTTCCTGCAGTCCAGGGCTCAGATTGTCACTGCTATGTTTGGCTATAGGAGCACATGGCCTGAGCTGCGATCCGGGGATGAGGGAGACACCGTTAGACTGACTGGCTCCAAAGCCAGGTATTTCCTTTGATATTTTCATCTGAAAATGCATGTATGACCTGCCTCTCCATTGCTCCTCACTTGGTTGGTTCTAAATTCAAGTCTTTCAGGAGTGATGCTGATCAATAGAACATAGACCATGTCTATAAACCCCAGCTGCAAGGGAGTTTGGGTAATGTAGTTTCATTTTCTAACTTTGCAGTACAAGAGGACACAGCAGAAGAGGGCGGGGACAGATATGAAGGGAGTTGGCTATGTTGTGGATTCCTGGGCAGGCTCTAGTTTTCATTTTCTGTTGCTGCCTCTGCCTCTGATATTTCCCTTTCTGCTGCACTGGGGCTGTCTACTTCTTCCACTTTTTAGAAAACCATTTCTTCCTTTCCTTTCTTTTCTTCTTCTTCACCTATCCCACCTTGTCCCTTTCTCTTCTACACTGACTCATACACTCTTCTAACTATAGTTTAGCAGACTGCCAAAAGATTCATGACAACAGACATGCACCTTTTCAAGAGAATTCAGATAGCCTTATAGAATGGCTGGTTTATTACAGAATCATCTAAAATTTCTAGCATCTAGACCCACGTATCCATATAAATTTAAAATCTTAAATGTTTAGATCTCCACTTATTACTATCACAATGCAGGAATTTTTTAAAGTGTTTTGCAATGTGTCTTGAAGGCCAATGGAAAAAAATGTTGTTGGCTTTAGGGAAAAAATGATTTCAAAGCAGAAGCCCATAGCCTTGTCTTAGTCCACATAATTATTTAGTTACGTGAATTTTATTTTATTTTACTTTTTGAGTCAGGGTCTTACTCTGTCATCCAGGCTGGAGTGCAGTGGCATGATCACGGCTCACTGTAGCCTTGACCTCCCAGGCTCAAGCGATCTTCATACCTCAGCGTCCCAAGGTGCTGGGACCACAGGCATACACCACCATGCCCAGCTAATTTTTGTATTTTGTAGGGACAGGGTTTTGCCATATTATGCAGGCTGATCTCAAACTCCTGGGCTCAAGTGATTCACCTGCTTTGGCCTCCCAAAGTGCTGGGATTACAGGTGTGAGCCACTGTGTCCAGACCCATGAATTTTAAAATCAAGAATAGGACACCTAAAGTAAGGGAGTTTTCCCTTACTTTAACCTCCCACTTATCCACAAAATTCCATTACACCTTAACAGCATGTATCTTTTTTTATACACCTATAATACAATCTTCTCTCAATTAAGATGATGTATTCAGCAAAGGCCAATTTGTGCTTGCAGATAAGAAGTCTGATTAAAAAGTCAGCTTTGCAAGTTAGAAAATGGATACCTTTGAATGCAAATTCTCAGTTTGATTAGGTTCCAAAAACACTCCCTTGGAAAAATGGAGGGTAACGTGTTCATGGCAAAAGTCATCTCACAAACTTAGTGAAGTCAAAGTTAGAGTATTAGTTGATGGTGGCCAGGCATTTTTATATGCAAATGTTCAAATTAAATTAGGTTATGTAGAATAAATAGCCAAAGGATTAAAAAATCACAAGACAGACACATTCCAACCCTCTAGTGTGTTTCTTTAGCCTTCAAATATCTTTTAAGAGCTTATATGTGTATAGGACATTCACTGCTGCTGACCACACTCATACTGCTGTGTACTATTAATCCCTCTTGAGGAATCTGTCAAATAAAAGCATTTTCTGTCCATCTTCTTTTTTTTTTTTTTTTTGACTGTCCTAAATTGTTTATTAAGTATGAATTTTACAGACTTTACTTATATTAGCGGTAACGGTGGAGCTGGAGAGTATTGCGCCTTCTCCAAGCTGCCCGGCGAGAGCCACCAATAGTGTGGTGGAACTTATGGCCCTTTCCAAGGCCACGGCTCTTTCGGCCTGCAGATGTCAGCCCACGCATCTCCCTGTGCTTGTGGACTGGTTTGGTGATCCACTGGGTGTCAGGATTTCTTCTGATAGCTTTATGGAATGGATCAATGAGGATAACCTCAAAAAATTTGTATGTGGAATCTTCACCAACCCAGTAAGAATTCAGGACCCTCAGAGCCCCACAGTGGCGTCCAACTCGCTCCTCTGCAACGGACTGAAGGCTTCGAGCAAACTTTAGCTGGTTAACACCATGATGGACAGGCTTGCCGTAAGTTGCACCCTTAGGAACTGGGCGTTTTCGGCCACCACGGCGAACACGAATCCTATATATAACGTAACCTTGCTTGGCCTTGTAGCCCAGTCGGCGCGCTTTATCAGGCCGGGTGGGGCGGGGAGCCCTGTGGAGAGCAGAGAGCTGGCGGTACTGCCAGCAGCGGACCCTCAGAAGAAAGCGCATGACATCAGACTGCTTCTTTCTCCATAGCTCCTGGATGTACTTGTATGCACCCATCTTGGCTTACCTGATGGCTGCCGCCAGACGGAAAGGAAAGCCTGTCCATCTTCTTTATTTGTATCTTTTTCCTCGGAGATGTGTGTGTGTGTGTGTGTGTGTGTGCGCGTGTGTGTGTGTGTGTGTGTGTGTGTGTGTGTGTGTATGAGGCTGTTGCAGAAGGTTAGCAGAGGAGGTACCAAAAAACATTGTAAGCTGTGTCAGGGCAGGAATACTTTTCAATATAGTAGTAGAGAGGAAAATCTGATGAATGTAATAACAATAGAACAACTAAGCGGCAAAATAAAGTTCTGACTATCAGCACAATGGAACTTTCAAGTAGAAAATGTGAGCTATGTTCTACCCCAAGAGCTGATACAATCTTCAATCTGTACTTTGCCTCCAACCTCACCTTCCTCTATCCTCCTGCTTCTTCCAAAGATTTTTCTAAAACATACATCTTCTCATTTGCTCTCATTGTTTAAAAACCTTCAGGGGCTCCCTGGTTTCTTGAGGACAATGCCTAACTTCTGTTGAATGAACAGAAAATGATCAGGATTTAGCATCCCTTAACTTTCCCTAAATTATCTCTTGCCTCACCCCTCTGTGTCTATCTCATGCAACTTCTTTCAGGTCCAAATAAGACAGGATCCTTCAATCTCTTGTGTTTTCACATGTCACATCCCTCTTTGAGGAATATCCCTCTCCACTATAATTTATATCCATTCTACTTGATAGACATCTGCTTGAGTGTAAGGGATACTTGTGTACACAGAGTCAGATTCATGACCCCATACCCATGAAGTGTTTTCTACACCGTATCACCTTGACCAAGCTGAATTGACCATTTGGTTCAGTCTATGGTTTCCTAATCCCTTTAGTCTAGATTCTGTGATATTTGACTACATCTATGTTTTTGTATTCCTGGCTCTTGAATTTAGAATTGTGGAAGGATTCACATGTTGTCTTCTTTGTCTCCATAGCATGGTGCCCTGCATCTAGTCACCCCTTTATTTGCTGAATAAGACAACAGTGGAAGAACGATCAGAGGAAATAGTACTTGATCTGAGTCTTGAGCCATTGGTAGGATTTGGGCAAGATTCTGGGGAAGAGAAGGCATATGAGCAAGAGTAAAGAGATGTCTGTGGGGAATTTATGTGCCTGTGTGTGAGAGAGAGGAAAAAAGAAAGAGATAAACAGCTAGAATAGTGGAACTTAAGTTTGAATAAGCGGCACGATACCAAAGTCTCAAACCCCAAGAAGCTACAACCTGATGCCACCACCATGAAATAGGTAAGTTGAGAAAAAGTGCCTGTGTCTCATGTAAAGTGTGAACAATAAAATCACACTGATTGAGAGGTAAAGAAGCCCTATGAGCTATGGCTGAGATATATTAGTCTCCTGACATGTCATGTCCTGTTATAAAATCTTCCTGCCAGTGGAATTTATGTGCATATTAGAATTTTTTATTTCACTGTAAATTGGCAAACTGGATTTGTATATATTTATGGGATACCAAGTGATGTTACGATTTATGAATACATGTGGAGCCATTAAATCAAGCTACTTACTGTATCCATCACCTCAAATACTTGCCTATTTGTGGTGAGAACATTTGAACTTTATTCTCTTTGATATATGTGTGTGTGTGTATATATGTGTGTGTGTGTATTTTTTTTTTTTTTGAGACAGAGTCTCACTCTGTCACCAGGCTGGAGTGCACTGGCGTGATCTTGGCTCACTGCAACCTCTGACTCCCTGGTTCAAGCATTTCTCCTGCCTCAGCCTCCCGAGTAGCTGGAATTATAGGTACATGCCACAATGCCCAGCTAATTTTTGTATTTTTAGTAGAGACAGGATTTCACCATGTTGGCCAGGATGGTATTGATCTCCTGACCTCGTGATCTGCCTGCCTCAGCCTCCCAAAGTGCTGGGATTACAGGCGTGAGCCACCGCACCTGGCCTCCCTTAGATATTTTGAAATGTACAATATGCTATTATCAACTATATTGACCATGTTGTGCAATAAATCTAAAACAAACAGGTATTCCCGCGTCTGAGACTTTGTACCCATGGACCATCATCTTCGCATTCCCCTCACCTCCAGCCTCTGTAACCACCATTCTACACTCTGCTTCTATGAATGATTGTTTCAGATTCCACATGTAAGTGAGAACAAGAGGCATTTGTCTTTCTGTGCCTGGCTTATTTCGCTTAGCATAGTGTTGTCCAGTTTCATCTATGTTGTCACAAATGACAGAATTTTCTTCTTTTTAAAGGCTGAATAATGTTCCAATGTGTATATATACCACATTTTCTCTATCCATTTATCTGTTGATGAACGCTTAGGTTAATTCCATTACATGGCTATTGTGAATAATGTTGCAATGAACTTGGGAGTGTAGACACCCCTTCCACAAACTGATTTCAAATATTTTGGGTAAATACTCAGAAGTGAAATTGCTGTATTATGTGGTAATTCTATTTTTAGATTTTTGAGGAACTTCCATATAATTTTCCATAATGGCTATACTAATTGACATTCCCATCAACAGTGTCCAAAAGTTCCCTTTTCTCTACATCTTTGCCAATATTTGTTATCTTTAGGTTTTTTTTTTTAAATAGCCATTTTGTCTATTGTGAAGTGATATCTCATTGTGGTTTTAATTTGCATTTCCCTAAGTGACTAGTGATGTTGAGTGTTTTTTCACAAATCTGTTAGCCATTTATACGTCTTCTTTGCTGATGTCTCTATTCAGGTACTTTTCCCATTTTTAAATTAAATTATTTTGTTTTTGGTTTCTTGCTATTGAATTTTTGAGTTCCTTTTATATTTTGGATATTAGTCTCTAATTGAATACATGGCTTATAAATATTTTTTCCTCAATCTGTAGGTTGTCTTTTTGTTCTGTTATTTGTTCCTTTTGCTGTGCAGCCTTTTAGTTTGATGTAATCTTATTTGTCTATTTTTGCTTCTGTTGCGTGTGTTTTTGTGGTCAAATTCAAAAAAATTATTGTACAGAGCAATACTGGGTAGTCTTTGCCCTATGTTTTCTTCCAGCAGTTTTACAGTTTTGAGTTTTACATTTAAATCTTTTAATCCATTTTGGGTTGATTTTTGCATATGCTGTGAGATGTGTCCAATTTTATTCTTCTGCATGTGGACATCCAGTTTTACCAACACCATTTATTGAAGAGACTGCCTTTTTTCCATTGTATATTCTTGGCATCATTGTCAATAATCAGTTGGCCATACTGTGTGAGTTTATTTATGAGCTCTCTATTCTGTTCCATTGCTTGATGTATCTATTTTTATACCAGTGCCATGCTGTTTTATGCATATTAGGATTTGAAGAAGGGTTAATTAAGTACTCTCTGGCTGGAAAAATAATATTAAAGTATATTTCACTTATTGCCTTTGATAATGGTTATAACAGTATCATAGACAATTTGCATACAATCCTTTGTTGATTAAATCCATTAATAATGAATAAACTTTGTTAACACAGTAGCAAGGAAGACTGATATATAGTTGAGGTTGAATGGATTTTAGGGAAAACTAATACTGAGCACCTATTATAATCCAGGCACCAAAGAATTTGTGTAGTTTATCCAATTAAATCCTCATGACAGCCCTGGATGTTAGGAATCAACCTCATTTGTATACATGAAGAAACTAAAATTCAAAGAATGGAAATAACATCTTCAAGGTTACATAGCTATGAGTAGAAGAGCTTTTATTCAGTCCCAGGTCAGCAGAACTTAAAAATGAGAACAAAGTTTCCACTAATTTAAACTCCCTTGATTCTTCAAAGAGCTAAAAGCAGACTACCATTCAACCCAGCAATCCCATCACTGGGTATATACCCAAAGGAATATAAATCATTCTATCGTAAAGACACATGCACATATATGTTCATTGCAGCACTATTCATAATAGCAAAGACATGGAATCATCCTAAATGCCTATCAATGGTAGACTGGATAAAGAAAATGTGGTAAATATACATCATGGAATACTATGCAGCCATAAAAAAGAACAAGATCATGTCCTTTGCAGCAACATGGATGGAACCAGAGGCCATTATCCTTAGCAAACTAACACAGGAACAGAAAACCAAATACTGCATGTTCTCACTTATAAGTAGGAGCTAAATGATAACACATGGACACAAAGAGGGGAACAACAGATTCTGGGGCCTACTATGAGGGTGGAGGGGGAGAGGATGAGGAAAAATAACTTTTGTGTACTAGGCTTAATACCTGGGCGATTAAATAATCTGTACAACAAACCTCCATGACACGAGTTTACCTATATAACAAACCTACACATGTACCTCTGAACCTAAAATAAAAGCTTAAAAAAAGAAAATGAGACACAAAAGTCATCTTTTTTAGCATCCTAGCGAAATTGTTAGCAATATGTCTTATACCAAAGAATATTTTAGCATCTTAGTTATCAGGAGAACATTTCTTAAGGAAACTTCTAACTCTGATCAAGTCGATTTTAATACACACACACACACACACACACACACACACACACGTACTTTTTGTGAAAACCCTAGAAATGAAGGCTTGGGGTGAGGTGGAGGAAGGAAGAAAACCTGTCCAGAAACATTGATTAAATCACTATTTGTAGCCCCTAAAAAATTTGTAAGATTTAGCTACCTCCATTAATTTAGTTACTTTATATCACACATCCCCCCCAGAGAGTCTTATCTTAGCATATTTAAAAAACTGAATCTGAAAGTCACATACTGATGACTTAAAGTGAAGAATTCTTCAACAGGCTTTAAAGAAGACTGGGTGTGTGATTCTTTAGCGAGATGTCCTCTTGCCTAATCCTTCCACCCCACCCCTACAATTACAATGGAAAATGACTAAAACTGTCTAGGCTTTCAATGCCATAAGTCTTAATGTAAATAGTACAGAGGTTAGCAAAGACAAGTATCAGGATTCTTGGCTATTCCTTTAACTAATGCTGCTACTATTTGTAAACCATTTGATTTTCACTCCTTATATCAGTCTGTTTTCACACTATGAACAACTGCCCAAGACTGGATAATTTATAAAGTGAAGAGGTTTAATTGACTCACAGTTCAGCATGGCTGAGGAGGCCTCAGAAAACTTACAATCGTGGTGGAAGACTAAGGGGAAGCAAACATGTCCTTCTTGGCATGGTAGCAGGAAGCAGAAGTGTTGAGTGAAGTGGGAAGAGACCATTATAAAACCATCGGATCTTGTGAGAACTCACTCACGATCACGAGAACAACATGGAGGAAACTGCCCCCATGATTCAATTACCTCCACCTAATCTCTCCCTTGACACGTGGGTATTATGGGGATTACAATTGAAGATAAGATTTGGGTGTGTGGGTATTATGGGGATTACAGTTGAAGATAAGATTTGGGTGTACTCACACCCAATAGTCATTATGGGGATTACAACTGAAGGTAAGATTTGGGTGGGGACACAAAGCCTAACCATAGCACCTCTCTTACTGAAAACATAATTTAATTAAAATACAGTGTAGTCCAATGAACTAAGTGGATGATCCTTAACTGGAATAATTAGTTCTATAACCAGTTTTCTGGATTTTAGAGTCTTTTATAACACAGTTACAGTGTTCTTGACATGGCCTTATTCCTTGGCTACAGCAATCGAGTGTTCATAGGCAGCGATAATTTGCTATTTAAATAACATAGTAAAATGACTTTGTGCATCTGCATGACTATATGTGAATGTTTTCCTTGGACTGCAAGCCATTTAGGCAGCTTTCCCCCCAGGCAGCAGCTTTTCATGATATTTCCAATTTATCATTTATGACCTTTCATGCTACTCTTTCTTAAAAAGAGACATCCCTGCATAATCACAACCTGTATTTCAAAAACTATGCTGTGAACTATTGGAGTCTAAAATATAACTAAGCTCTGTTGATGATTATTACTGTGTGTAATTTGTGTCCATTTAAGTCTTCTGCACTAGAAGTTCAGGGCAGAATGGAAGGAAGAAATTGAATTTTAGAAGCTTTCTCTTTTTCCCTTCTAAATCTGTGTGAATATTTTCTAATATTTTGTTATCCTGGTGGGGCAGAAATTATAATGTGTGTGACATCCCCGAGTGGACTCATTTAACACAGATAAATTCCATCAGTAGCTAGGAAGTGTCAGCTCCCTTGATAAGCTTTCCTAGTTCACAGAAATTGAGCCATAACATTCCCATTAACTCTGTTTGGAGCAGTGACTAATGATACCACATAGAGACAAATTCAAGTTAATATAGATATGGAACTGTTATTTTCCTCATCCTCCAAAATTTGGCTATCATTGGATAAACATTCCCTTCTGTGGAAGCCTTCCGTCTCCCCACACACTGGTATGCCAGCAATGTTGTAGACTCTCTATAGAGGGATAGAGCCCCTCTCCTTGCCTGACTTAGTGCTCCCACCCTTCAAAGCCAGTGTTCTCCCTACACCATTATCCCCTCGATTTCCCCAACATCCACCTCCAATTTCACAATTCTTTTGCTCATACAGCTTCTAAACTTCCTTACAACAAAAATACAAAGAACATTGTAGGAATTTAGAATGGTCTCCACATGGTGATGCCTGAGAATTTCCCCTGGGGAGAAGACCAGCGGTCTGACCACCCACAAAGGCCTTGGAGAAATTACCTACCATGGACCACAGTCTGGCTTTCAGCTTTGTGGACTCTGAAACCAGATCTTGTTAATGCAAAGAGATCGCCAGGCAGACTGACACTAACCAATGAAGAACATCATTCATATGTATCCAAAGTACTATGCTGCAGTGAGAAATAGAACTGTCATAAAATCAGAATACTCATGCTGGCATCATTAGTGAATTTCAGACCTACTTGGGGAGACAAATGACAATCAGAATCTGTTTAGACTCAGAACACAAGGAGTTAGATGAACAGAGTGTTAAAATACATCAAGCTCTCAATAGGGAGTGTCTGAACTTTGAAAGGATTTCAGCATTTAATGATATACTGTATTTATTTATAAGGCTCCCCAGAAGACTTACCGAGGCATAAAACTTGAATTATAGATAACTGAGCAATTGTTTTCTGGTTAGTATAACAAATAGAATGTTGCCAACACATGATTCCAACTTAAAGATGATCCCTGTGCAAATAAAAGTTTTCAAAATGTTCATGATCAGATAGGGGAAAAAATTATAATATAACCAATTCTATGAGGTACAGACAAACCAGAAGTTAACCCCGAAAGGTAGGTCCTGCCAGTTGACTGGAAGTTGCCCTAACAACCAACATCAAAGTATCAAGTTTCATGACTCCCATAATGGAGAAACAGTATTGTCCAACTCAATTTTTCTGTCAGCCAGATAGGCAAGTTCTAGAAATGCCACCTGCAAGTACCAAGTAAATATACTAATAAATAATAGTGATTCATTTCATGCCCTCTTTCCCCACCTATCCCTTTGATTATGAAAGAATTTGATAGACAATCTCAAGTAGGCATTTTCATTTGTTTAAAGAATTTAGAGAAAGAGCAGAAAATGTTTAGCCTACAGGGCACTTTCCCCAGAAGGTTAACTGCTTGACAAAAATGAACTTAGAAATATACCTTCTTGAGAAAAACTACAGCATTGGTTTTGCAGTTTATATCATGTGTAATCACTTCACATGTCAAAAAAGAAAAAAAATAGTTGGCTGTCTTAAGATACTATCTGCAACAAGCCTGTGCATGCAGCTCAATCTCTGTTACTTCTTTCTAAGGTAAGATCAGGTCCAAGAAGTGGCAGAAGTTGAAATGCGTTTTTATGCCCATTGTCGCTATGCATATTCACACATATGGAAAATTCTTATTAGCCATTGCCAAAAGACTTTTCTAAAATATTTTGTAGTGCATGGTTGCTTGGAAACATTGAGATCTCAAAATAAATAGTTCTGCCTTGTTCAAAATGTGTACAAATTGCACTAAACATAGACACTCAGACTCCTCCAAACCTCTAAGATTGATATCGTAAGGCCTGCCTCAAATGCATTTCTGGCAAAATCAAAGTCTTTAATTATCTTAAAAAGAGTAACATGTTAAAAATGTGCATGCGATTATCCCTTAAAAACACCATAAGAATATAAAGAAGGCCTTTCTCCTGACAGTACTCCAGGGCTACTCATCTGAGTGTTGGGAAGTCTAGGAGAATTTGCTGTTATTGACAGTTACAAATCACTCTCCAAGCACTTGTGTCCCATTCCCTGGATTTGGCCAATAGTACAGAGGAAAATGTTATGTTCTTCCTGGAAATCAGTGTTCATGTTGCCACTGATAATCACCTGAATAGTAATTTTGCCATTGTACCACTGCACGAAGGCATGCCCAGGAAGCCTTGCTTAGATCTGACATGTCTGCTGTCTTAACCAGCAGAACAAATAAGGAAGTAAACATGAAAGGTCTCGAGAGAAGCCCATGTGGATCAGTCTGGGGCTGAGATAAGAACTTGGGTATGCTTCTCATAGTTCAGACAAATGACAATGACAGTTTGAGTATTTCTACCAATCCTTCTTTTGGTAGTTATTAAGGGACACTGACTTAGTATTGCAAAACAAACTGAGCTACATCGATACGTGGTCCAATTTTTAAGACACCCTTTCCAGTCTTATTTGTCTCATATAGTATGCTAGATAAAAGGGAGATAAACTGTTTCCAACTTATCTAAATTGAGATGATGATTTGTCTTGGCACCAAATACAATTTGCAATTGGGATGTTGCTCTGGCATCTCGTCTCATCTGGGTTGTCTCGTCCCTTTTGTACACCCCTACTTGGAAATACTTGGAAATTCTATTGGAAGTTGAGAATAAAGGGCTCTTTATCTTCAAACATGATTTCCCTATTTATTATGCACTTTTTCTTTCCTTTGTTTCCAATCAAAATTCTGAGTTTCTCTCTGTTTATCTGTGAATCCCATGGCCTCAGACTTTAAAAATGGACTAAATAGTTAGAAAATTTGAATTTAGGGCTGATTCGATTCAGAAACCAAGTAAGCATTGTCTCCAAACATGAAGCCATGTTTCTTTGTAACCAAGGCTGCCTGTTTAGCTGGAATTTCTGTCTAAGATCACCCCTGGGTAACTAACAATTGAAACCTACAACGTTTTTGAAGATCAACTTTCCTCACTCAATGTATTGAAATTTTCAAATGTTCTCTTTGACAAGAGAAAAATAGCTTCAGATTTCATATTTGTACTAATGTGTTTCTAATTAATTGATTTTAATTTGATTCTCTGTGTTTTCTTCTTTGTAAGCTAATTCTGCTGTTTTCATACATGTTTTAGATAATGGCCTTACTTTTGTTTGCCTGCCTACAACAGAAATATCAGAAAGAAGAAAATCATCATTAGCATTAAATCATGGTCAAGCCAGAGAGTTCATGTAATATGGGGGTTTTATGGTTCACTGAATACAATCTCATCTCAAATTCATTTTCCAGTTGGTCTTGAATTTTCGAAAAGTCTAGAAGTGCAGCTGCGTTGTAGGTCATCATTCTATGCAGTAGTCATAATCAAGCTAGACACTAGGGGGCTGTGTGGAGTGAGGTGGTGGTAAGCTTAGTCTCCTGAATCAGGTTGACCAGGGTTAGCATATCTGCACTTACACTGTTGTCTCTGTGACCTTGTGTAAAGCACTGAACTTATCTGAGCCTCAGCATTCTCATCTGTTAAATGGAAAAAAAAAATGTGTATTCTGTCTCTATTAAAGGGCATTTACTGAAATCACCATCTTCACATAATGATAATAAGTGCTGTGTAAAAAGAGAAAAGCATCTTGTGGGTAATGCTTGATTAAATCCAATTAAAGTTAAACGGGGCTTTTTATTGCAGACGTTCCTGATGCATTACTGCATAAGATAAACCTCCACTGGAGGTATGAATTACATAGCATTGTCCAGACTTATTGGGAGACTCACAGAATACATGTTGGGAAGAGCTTATAGGCTTCCTAACACTGATGTGATCATTAAGCATAATTATGTACATTAAATGCTTATCTCAATATCTGCTGCATATCAATGCAGGCCGACATTTACTGAGCATTTCCTGTGTGCCACATGTCATCTCATTGCATAATCATGGCAATCTCGTGAGGCAGGTACCCTCATTCTCATCTTACAGGTAAGAAAACTGAGCCTTGGCGATGTTGACCAACTGCCCAGGGTCATATGGCAAGACAGTGTCAAACATGGAGCTTTTTGACTCCCCAGAGTCTGTCTGATACACTTTAATAAATGCTGTTCCCGGGTGGGTGTGTGGCTCACCCCTGTAATCCCAGCACTTTGGGAGTCCGAGGTGGGTGGATCACCTGAGGTGAGGAGTTGGAGACCAGCCTGTTCAATGTTGTGTGACCCCATCTCTACTAAGAATACAAAAATTAGCCAGGCATGGTGGTGTGTCCCTGTAATCCCAGCTACTTGGGAGGCTGAGGCAGGAGAATTGCTTGAACCTGCGGGGCGGAGGCTGCAGTGAGTCGAGATCGCGCCAATGCACTCCAGCCTGGGTGACAGAGCGAGACTGCATCTCAAAAATAAATGAATAAATAAATAAAAATAAATGCTGTTCTCAGTCTCTTCTTTTCCTTAGCTATCCCTGGGACAACTGTTACATTCTAATGCAAGCTATTAGCAGGACAGGCATCAAAGACAAAGATTCCCCTTAAGAGTACTATCTTGCTTTATAGCTTATCCAGAAATATTGCTAGACAATTCCAGGCCCCACATTCATTTCGTCATTCTTCCCTTCAACAAAGACATAGTAAGTAAGAACTTACTGTGTACGGGTCACTTCTCTAGGTAACGGAAATACGACAGTGAATAAAGCAGACAAAAACCCTTGCTCTCATGGAGTGCATACTCTCCTGTGAGAAAACAGACAAAAACAAGTAACTAAGTAAAACAAACAAACAGAAGTCATGGTAATAAGTGCAATGCAGAAAAATAAAGGAGGAAAAAGGAAAGAGAGTGACTTTGGTAGTGGGGAGAGGTTGGTGGCTGCACTTCTAAATAGGGTTATGCCAGAAGGCCTGGCTGAGATGGTGCCCTCTGGGCAAAGACTTGGAGGAAGGGAGCAAGGGATGGATCCAGATGGTATCTGGGCAGAATGTTTCAGGCTAAAGAAAGAGCAAGTGGAAAAATCCCAAGGTAGGGATGTGCCTGGTGTCTTCAGAGAATTGCGACATGCTCTCTTTTTTCCTATTTTTTTTTTTTTAGAAAAATCAACTTTTATTTTAGATGCAGTGAGTATATGTGCAGATTTGTTACATGGATATATTGCACCCAGGTAGTGAGCATAGTACCCAATAGGTAGTTTTACAACCCATGCCCTCCTCTCTCGCTCCCCATCTATTCATCCCTAGTATTTTTTGTTCCCATTTTTATGTCCCTGAGTACCCAATGTTAAGCTCCCACTTTTTTTAAGTGAGAACACATGATATATTTTGTTTTCTCTTCCTATGTTAATTTGCTTAGTATTCTGGCCTCCAGCTTCATCCATGTTTCTGCAAAAGACACGATTTCATTCTTTGTTATGGCCACGTAGCTTTCTGTGGTGTATATGTACCATATTTTCTTTATCCAATCCACCTTTAATGGGCACCTAGGTCAATCCCATGTCTTTGATATTGTGAATAATATGGCAATGAGCATACACGTGCACCTGTCTTTTTGATATGATAATCTATTTTCCTTTGAGTATATACCCAATAATGGGATTTCTAGGTTGAATGGTAAATCTGTTTTAAGTTCCTTGTGAAATCTCCAAATCACTTTCTACTGTGGCTGAATTAATTTACATTCCCACCAGCAGTGTATAAACTTTCTCTTTTCTCCATAGCCTTACCAGCATCTGTTGTTTTGGGGCTTTTTAATAATAGGTATTCTGACTGGTGTGAGATGGTATGTCATCATAGTTCTAATTTGCATTTCTCTGATGATTAGTGATACTGAGCATTTATTCATATGCTTCTTGGCTGCTTGTATGTTCTTTTAAGAAGTGTTTGTTCATATCCTTTGCCTACTTTTTAATGGGATTGTTTTTCGCTTGTTCCATTGTTGAAGTTCCTTATAGATTCTGGTTATTAGACCTTTGTCAGTGCATAGCTTGTGACACTTTTCTCTCATTCTGTAGGTTGTCTGTTTACTCTGTTGATAATTTCTTTTGCTGTGCAGAAGCTCTTTCTTTTAATTAGGTTCCACATGTCAATTTTTGTTTTTGTTGCAATTGCTCGTGGGGAATTTGTCAAAATTCTTTGCCAAGATCAATTTGTTGAAAAGGGTATTTTCTGTTTACTTCTAGGATTTTTATAGTTTAAAGTCTTGCATTTAAATCTTTAATCCATGTTAAGTTTTGTACACAGTGAAAAGTAGGGGTCTAGTTTTATTCTTCTGCATATGGCTAGCCAGCTATCCTAGCACCATTTATTGAACAGGGAGTCCTTTACCCATTGTTTGTTTTTGTTGGTCTTGTGGAAGATGGTTGTAGGTGTGTGGCTTTATTTCTGAGGTTTTTTTTTTTTTTTTTTTTTTTCTGTTCCATTGGTCTATGTGTCTGTTTTTGTTCCAGAACCATGCTGTTTTGGTTACTGTAGACTTATAGTGTGGTTTAAAGTTGACTAGTGTGATATTTCTGGCTTTGTCCTCTTTGCTTAAGATTGTTTTGGCTAATTTAGGGTTATTTTTGGTTCCATGTGAATTTTAAAAGAGTTTTTTTTTTCTTTCTAATTCCATGAAGAAAGATGTTGATAGTTTGATAGGAATAGCATTGAATCTGTAAATTGCTTTGGGAAGTATGGCCATTTTAATGATATTGATTCTTCCAATCCATGAGTATTTTTCCTACTTTTGATATGAAGAAGATGCAAAGACAGATGGGTATAAACTCACTATTCAGCCCATCTCCTAGGCGTACCTTCCTATGCTGCTTGGAAAAGAAAGAATCATGCCATAGAGTTTATTCCTTACCCAGAGGAGAGATCTTTCATGGGAATATAAATTTTAAAACTAACGAAGAAAATAAATTTACAACACAAGACAATTTTGTCATATATTTTTGAAAGTGATTTTGCTTTTGAAGGTTTCTGGTAGGCCCTGAGTTATTTCAAGAGAATTTGCTAAAGTTCATGGTAATTAATAAAAGATAATTTATAATAGTATTTGGAAAACTCTTAAGCAGGCTGCAAATATAAGGGATTATTTTCATTATTAAAGAAATGGACTTTTAAAAATTGCTTGCAAAGTTTCCCCAGCTACGAATTATGAATATATATATTCATAATTCAAATATATATATATATTTGTGTGTTACCATAAATTTTTTATTTTTATTTTTATTTATTTTTAACTTTTAGGTTCAGGAGTACATATGCAGGTTTGTTATACAGGTAAGCTTGTGTCATGGGGGTTTGTTGTACAGATTATTTCCTCACTCAGGCATTAAGCCTAGTACCCAATAGCTATTTTTCCTGATCCTCTCCCTCCTCCCCACCTCCACTCTCATAGTAGACCTCAGTGTTTGTTGTTTCCCTCTTTGTGTCCATGTATTCTCATCATTTAGCTCCCATTTATAAGTGAGAACGTGCAATATTTGGTTTTCTGTTCCTGCGTCAGTTTGCTAGGGATAATGGCCTCTAGCCCCATCCATGTTTCTGCAAAGGACATGATCTTGTTCTTCTTTATGGCTACATAGTATTCCAAGATGTATATGCAGCACGTTTTCTTTATCCAGTCTACCACTGATAGGCATTTAGGTTGATTCTATGTCTTTGCTATTGTGAATAGTGCTGCAGTGAACATAGGTGTGCATGTTTTTTACAACAGAATGATTTATATTCCTTTGGGTATATACCCAGTAATGGAATTGCTGGGTCAAATGGTAGCTCTGTTTTTAGCTCTTTGAGGAATCACCACACTACTTTTCACAATGTTTGAACTAATTTACACTCCTGTCAACAATGTATTAGCATTCCCTTTTCTCTGCAACCTTGCCAGCATCTGTTATTTTTGACTTTTTATTAATAGCCATTCTGACTGGTGTGAGATGGTATCTCATTGTGGTTTTGATTTGCATTTCCCTAATGATTAGTGATATTGAACTTTTCTTCATATGCTTGTTGGCCGCAAGTATGTCTTTTTTTTGAAAATGTCTGTTCGTGTTCTTTGCCCACTTTTTAATGGGGTTGTTTATTTTTTTGTAAATTTAAGTTCCTGACAGATGTTTGATATTAGACCTTAGTCAGATGAATTGTTTGCAAATATTTTCACCCATTCTGTAGGTTGTCTGTTTACTCTGTTGATAGCTTCTCTTGCTCTGCAGAAGCTCTTTAGTTTAATTTGATTCCATTTGTCAATTTTTGCTTTTGTTGCAATTGCTTTTGACAATTGCAAAATTGTGTCTTCATCATGACATCTTTGCCAGTTCTCTATGTCCAAAATTGTATTGCCTAGGTTGTCTTCCAGGGTTTTTAATAGTTTGGGGTTTTACATTTAAGTCTTTAATCCATCTTGAGTTGATTTTTCTATACGGTGCAGGGAAGGAGTTCAGTTTCAATCTTCTGCATATGGCTTGCCAGTTATCCCTGCACCATTTATTGAATAGAGAGTCCTTTCCCCATTTCTTTTTTATCAATGGACTTATTTCTGGGAAATTCTGTTCCACTGGTCTATGTTTCTCTTTTTGTACCAGTACCATGCTGTTTTGGTTACTATAGCCCTGTAGTATAGTTTGAAGTCAGGTAGTGTGATGCCTCCTGCTTTGTTGTTTTCGCTTAGAATTCCTTTGGCTATTCAGGCTCTTTTTTGGTTCCATATGAATTTTAGAATAGTTTTTTCTAGTTCTGTGAGGAATGTCATTGGTAGTTTGATAGTAATAGCACTGAATCTGTAAATTGCTTTGAGCAGTATGGCTATTTCAACAATATTGATTCTTCCCACTCATGAGCATAGAATGTTTTTCAATTTGTTTGTGTCTTATCTGATTTCTTTGAGCAGTGACTTATAATTCTCGTTGTAGAGACCTTTCACCTCCCTGGTTAGCTGTATTCCTAAGTATTTTATATTTTTTGTGGCTATTGTGAATGGGATTGCCTTCCTGATTTGGCTCTCAGCTTGGCTGTTGTTGATGTATAGGAATGCTAGTAATTTTTGTACATGAATTTTGTATGCTGAAACTTAAGTTGTTATCAGATGTAGGATCTTTTGAGCAGAGATGATGGGATTTCTCGATATAGAACCATGTCATCTGCAAACAGGAATAGTTTGATTTCCTTTCATCCTACTTGGATGCCCTTTATTTCTTCTCTTGTCTGATTGCTCTGGCCAGGACTTCCAATACTATGTTGAATAAGAGTGGTGAGAGAGGGCAACCTCATCTTGTGCCAGTTTTCAAGGGGAATGCTTCCAGCTTTTGCCATTCAGTATGATGTTTGCTGTGGGTTTGTCATAGGTGTGTCTTATTATTTTGTGCTATGTTCCTTCAATGCCTAGTTTGTTGAGGGTTTTTAACATAAAAGGATGTTAAATTTTACCAAAAGCCTATTCTGCATCTAGTGAGGTGATCATGTGGTTTTTGTCCTTAATTCTGTATATGTGATGAATCACATTTATTGGTTTGTGTTTGTTGAACCAACCTTGTGTCCCAGGGATAAAGTCTACTTGATTGTGGTGGATGAGCTTTTTAATGTGCTGCTGCATTCAGTTTGCTCATATTTTTTTGAGGATTTTTGCATCTATATTCATCAAGGATATCGGCCTGAAGTTTTCTTTGTTGTTATGTCCCTGCCAGGTTTTGATATCAGAATGATGCTGGCCTGACAGAACGAGTTGGGGAAGAGTCCTTCCTCATTATTATTATTTATTTATTTTTGGAATAGTTTCAGTAGGAATGGTGCCAGCTCTTCTTTGTTCATCTGGCAGAATTTGGCTGTGAATCTGTCTGGTCCAGGGCTTCTTTTTGTTGGTAGGCTATTTATTATGAATTCAATTTCGGAGCTCATTACTGGTCCGTTCAAGGATTCGATTTCTTCTTTGTTCAGTCTTGGGAGGGGGTGTATGTGTCCAGGAATTTATCCATTTCTTCAAGATTTTGTAGTTTGTGTGCATATAGGTGTTCATAATAGTTTCTGTTGGTTATTTGTATTTCTGTGAGGTCAGTGGTAATTCTAATTGTTTTTTTAAATCTCTCTTTTCTTCTATATTAGTCTAGCTAGCAGCCTATTTTTCTTATTAATTTTTTTCAAAAAGCCAGCTCCTGGTTTCATTGATTTTTTGAGTGGTGTTTTATGTCTCAGTCTCCTTCAGTTCAGCTCTCATTTTGATTATATCTTGTATTCATCTACCTTCGGGGTTGGTTTGCTCTTGTTTCTCTAGTTTTTAGTTGTGATGTTTGATTATTAATTTGATACCTTCTAACTTTTTAATATGGGCCTTTAGTACTATAAATTTTCCTCCTAATAGTGCCTTAGCTGTGTTCCAGAGATTCTGGTATGTTGTTTACCCAAAAGTCATCCAGGAGCAGAATATTTAATTTCCATGTAAAAGTATGGTTTTTAACAATTTTCTTCATATTGAGTTCTATTGTTACTGTGCTGTGGTCCAAGAGTGTGGATGATATAATGTATATTCTGTTGTTTTGGGGTGGAGAGTTCTGTAGATCTCTCCAGATATCAGATCCATTTGGTCCAGTGTTGAGTTCAGGTTCTGAATATCTTTGTTAATTTTCTGCCTCAGTAATCTATCTAATACTGTCAGTGAAGTGTTGAAGGTTCAAACTGTAATTGTGTGGGAGTCTAAGTCTCTTTGAAGGCCTCTAGGAAACTTGCTTTATGAATCTGGGTGCTCCTGTGTTGGGTGCATATGTATTTAGGATAATTAGGTCTTCTCGTTGAAATGAACTATTTACCATTATGTAGTGCCCTTCTCTCTCTCTCTCTCTCTCTCTCTCTATATATATATATATATATATATTTTTTTTTTTTTTTTTTTTTTTTTTTTTTTTAGTGGAGACAGGGTTTTACCCTGTTAGCCAGTATGGTCTCGATCTCCTGACCTTGTGATCTGCTCGCCTTGGCCAGGTGTGAGCCACCACACCTGGCCCTTTCTTTGTCTTTTTTGTTCTTTGTTGGTTTAAGCCTGTTTTGTCTGAAATTAGGATGGCAACCCCTGCTCTTTTCAGTTTTCCATTTGCTTGGTAGATTTTTCTCTATCCCTTTATTTTGAGCCTATAGGCCTCATTGCATGTGCGATGGGTCTCTTGAAGAAAGTATACCATTGGGTTTTTATTCTTTATCCAGCTTGCTACACTGTGCCTTTTAAATGGGGCATTTAGCCTATTTGCATTCAAGGTTAGTATTGATATGTGCAGATTTGATCCTGTCATTGTGATTTTAGCTGTTTATTATGCTGAGTTGTTTGTGTGGTTGCTTTATAGTGTCACTGGTCTGTGTGCTTAAGTGTGTTTTTGTAGTGGCTAGTAATAGTCTTTCCTTTCCACATTTTGTGCTTCTTTAAGAGCTCTTCTCAGGCAAGTCTAGTGGTAACAAATTCCCTCAGCATTTGCTTGTCTGAAAAGGATCTTATTTCTTTTTTGCTTATGAAGCTTAGTTTGGCCGGATATAGAATTCTTGGTTGGAGTTTCTGTTTTTAAAGAATTTTGGATATAGGCCCCTAATCTCTTTTGGTCTGCAGGGTTTCTGCTGAGAGGTCTGCTGTTAGTCTAATGAGCTTCCGTTTGTAGGTGACCTGTCCTTTCTCTCTAGCTGCTTTTAACATTTTTTTCTTGCATTTAGACCTTGGAGAATCTTATAATTATGAGTCTTGGGGGTGACCTTCTCATGAAGTATTTTGCTTGGGTTGTCTGCATTTCCTGAATTTTAAGTTTGGCCTCTGTAGCTAGGTTGGGGAAGTTCTCATGGACGACATCCTGAAACATGTTTTCCAAGTTTCTTCCATTCTCCCCATCTCTTTCAGGGACATCAGTAAGCACAGATTCAGTCTCTTTACATAATTCCATAATTCTTGAAATTCTCGAAGGTTTTGTTCATTCTTTTTCATTCTTTTCTTGAAAATTCTTGTCTGACTGCCTTATTCCAGAAAGCCAGTCTTCAAGCTCTGAGATTCTTTCCTCAGCTTGGTCTATTCTGCTGTTAATATTTGCAATTGTATTTTGAAATTCTTGTAGAGTGTTTTTCAGCTCTTTAAGGGGTCAGTTACATATTTTTCTATGTTGGCTATTTTGTCTGTTAGCTTCTGTGTGGTTTTACTGTGATTCTTTTTTTTTTTTTTTTTTTGAGATGGAGTCTCTCTCCCATCACACAGGCTGGAGTGCAGTGGCATGATCTCGGCTCAGTGCAACTTCCACCTCCCAGATTCAAGTGATTCTCCTTCCTCAGTCTCCCGAGTAGCTGAGATTACAGGCGTGCACCACCAAGCCCAGCAAATTTTTGTATTTTTAGTAGAGACACGGTTTCACCATGTTGGCCAGGCTGGTCTTGAACTCCTGACCTCAGGTGATCCACCCACCTCAGCCTCCCAAAGCGCTAGGATTACAGATGTGAGCCACCACGCCCAACTCTTATTGTGATTTTTAACTTCCTTGGATTGAATTTCAACATTCTCCTGAATCTCAGTGATTTTCATTCCTGTCCATAATCTGAGTTCTGTTTCTGTCATTTCAGCCATCTCAGCCCAGTTAAGAAAACTTGCTGAAGAACTAGTGCAGTTGTTTGGAGGAAAGAAGATATGGTGACTTTTTAAGTTGTCAGAGTTCTAGCACTGATTCTTTCTCATCTTTCTGGGCTGATATTTCTTCAGTCCTTGAAGTTGCTCAACTTTGGATGAGTTTTCTGGGTTTTTTAAAATCCTATTTGATGATCTTGGAGTTTGTGGTGTAAGGTGGATTCAGTTGACTGGCTTCCTTACTGGAAGATATTAGGGGATCAAGGCTCAGCTCAGGACTCCTGTACTGCATGCTCTAACTCTGGGAGCCTGGTATTAGGCCCTGGATTTGATCTCTGGCTCCTCAAGGTTAGGAACCTGCTGTGCTGGAGGGGCTAAGGTGCTCTTGGACTGCTGGTCACAACATTCTGATGGGTGGTGCCAGCTAAAGCACTTTGTAAGGCGGTGGCAGCAGGATCCATTCTTGTTTACATGTGCCAGCAGCAGTGGTAGTGGCAGTGTCACAGGGTGCGTGCTTGCATGCTTGTTGGCTGCAGCAGGGGGCTACCCAGGGCCAGGGTGCTGGCCTCCACGTGGGCCTTCCCAACAGTAGTGGTGGCAATAAGGCTCAGGGGGAGTGGGGACCCCCCCAGCAACTGTGCACACATTCACATCAGTGCAGTGGTGGTGTTAGCACAAGGGCAGGGTGCTGGTGGGTGTAGGACTGTGTGCACCCTTTGTGCTCATTCACATGAGTGGTAGTGGCCACTCTGGGCTGGGGGCAGGTCCACTGTTCTCCTTGCCTGATTTCCCACTAGCAGCTCCAGCGCAGAGTGAAGTGCTGGCAAGGGTGGGGCTAGAGGGCTCCATGACTGCCAATGTGCCCATGACAATGGTGGTATGGCGAGAGGAAGGAGGGCGGGGTGCATTCGCACTTGCAGCAGTGGCTTGGCAGGGTGCACATGCACCCACACACTGGCAGGGAAGGGAAAGGTAGGGCCACCCACACATGTGTGCTGGGAAAGCAATATAGGGGGTGGCCTTGGGCGAGTGTCTGTAGGCAAGGTGGCATGAAGGAGGCTGCAGTGGGGGCGGGGCGCAGGTAGGCTGGTTCCTGTCCACTGGGGCCACTCTACTGGAGTACTCTGCTGGTCGGGGACACAGTCCACCAGGGCAGGAACTATGATGTGGGACCCCAGGAGGTATCTGGGGGCTGCATTGCAAGCAGGCATGGCCAGGCTGGGGCTCCAGAAGACACCAGCAGACTGAGGGGTGCTCAGATCAGACTGGCTTCTTCTCATGGGCAAGATCGCCCTGCAGCACACAGAGCAGACAGTTTTCCTAGGGTTAAAGTCTCCTACAGGAGCAAGTCAAGCCTAGTGGGGCAGGCATCTCTGGACGTCCTCCACTACCAAATACTGTGGGCTCCACCATGGCTGGAGTTCTGCCCTTACAACTTCTCTAAGCAGCTTTCCCTGCCAACTCAAGAGTCTGTGGTGGTTGAGGGGTCTCCTCCAGTAGGGATTCAAGAGGCCTGTGGTGAAAGCTGGTTGCTCCTTGCCAGTTAACTCACCCCCTCCGCAGGAATTGTTGGGGGCTAGGAATAGTCCCAGTGCATGGCAGCTCTGTGTGGGGTTCTCAGCTTCCTCCCTCTCCAGCCCAGCTTCTGTGTCTTCCCTCCAACTGTTCTCAATGCCTTCCCTCTGAAGATCTGCTAGGAGTGTGCCAGTCTTCCCAATGTCTAGTCTCTTGGAGAGAGATGTTCCTTCCAACTGCATCTATGTGGGAGGAACGCGGGAGGAACATCCCCCACTGAGGGAGCGGGACATCGGGAAGACTGGCACACTCCTAGTAGATCTTTTTAAATTCTCAGCATTTATTAGCATTTTAAGGATGCCTTCTGCCTTCATTTTATCTTAAACAAAAATATTTCAATTGTTTATCTTTAACCAATGCTCTGTTTACCATAAGCATAAATTCTCACATGACTGTGACTAAATTAATGAAGCCTAAGGGCATTCTCTTTTTGTATTTTCATCAACTTCTGTTGGGGCATAAACTGGTACAACCTTTCTATTTAGCAGTTTGGCAATACATATCAATAGCTCCAAAAAGTTACACCTTTGACCTAATGATTTCACTCCTAAGAATCTCAATGAAATTATAAGTAACAAGGAAAGAGGTTTGTTTGAAAAGATGTTTCACACAAAAGTATTTATAATAAGAAACACTAGGGAGGCCAAGGAGGGTGGATCATCTGAGGTCAGGAGTTCGAGACCAGCCTGACCAACATGGTGAAACCCCGTTTCTACTAAAAATACAAAAATTAGCTGGGAGTGGTGGCAGGCACCTGCAATCTCAGCTACTTGGGAGGCTGAGGCAGGAGAATCACTTGAACCCAGGAGGCGGAGGTTACAGTGAGCTGAAGTCGCACCATTACACTCCAGCCTAGGCAACAAGAGCAAAACTCTGTCTCAAAAAAAAAGAAAAAAAAAAAAGAAAGAAAGAAAGAAAGAAAGAAAAAAACCCACTGCAAACAACCTTTATGTGTCAATTTAATAAAGATCACTCTTTATAAAAGTGATCTTTACATAGAGTTTTAATAACCTAGTAACCTGCTTATGGTATTAAAGTTAAGTGTAATAAAAGCAGGATGCAAAATTGTGGATAAATGTGGTCTAGAACAGGCAAAAATAAAATACATAACAAAATATAGCAAAATATTAGCAGTGACTGAATCTGGGTGTGGAGATATGTTATTCTTGCATCTTTACAGTTATTTACTGATTGTAGCAATAAGACATTCAACAAAGGTACTCATCTCACCCTCTTCTACTTTGATGCTCTCAGTAATGTTTCACAATTGTTGACATAATCAAATATTAAAAATTCTTTTCTCTGAGTCATGTCAACAAGGAATGACATCAATAATGTCTTAGCAAACAAGGAAGCCAATAATCCAGTGTCATGATTAAAAAGCTGAAAACCTTGACCATAAAAGAACCTTTGCATTGGCCGAGTGCGGTGGCTCATGCCTGTAATCCCAGCACTTTGGGAGTCCGAGGAGGGCGAATCACAAGGTCAGGAGATCGAGACCATGCTGGCTAACACAGTGAAACCCCATCTCTACTAAAAATACAAAAAATTAGTGGGATGTGGTGGCATGCGCCTGTGGTCACAGCTACTCGGGAGGCTGAGGCAGGAGAATCACTTGAACCCAGGAGGCGGAAGTTGCAGTGAGCTGAGATCGTGCCACTGCACTCCAGACTGGGCGACAGAGTGAGACTCCATCTCAAAAAAATAAATAAATAAAATAAAATAAAATAAAAAAAGAACCTTTGCATTATAACTTAAAGAATCTCTCAATGTACATATTTCCATATCAGCATGTGCTCAGACGGTGTGTTTTGAGAGATTTGTGTCTTAAATGGCCTCCTGGATTTCTGACCTAACTTTCCTGTCCTTTTCGGAGCTGCTGAAGAGGATAAACTTTAAAATGAAACACACATACCTCCCTAATTATGTTTGCTATTACAACGTGACTTGTGAAAACTTTGGGGAAGTATATTGTAATAGACCAGCTAGCTATTGTACTTGAAGTATATAATTTGTAATTAGCAAATATGTTCTGAACTAACTGAGTAAACCACTTCTTTGCATATTCAAAGAAAGATCCCTTTTAAGGCGACTGAGTGCTAGTTTCCATGGAAGATCTCATTGAGGGGAGCCTGGAGGTCTCAGGATCTCTCATGAGGTCTCATGCTGGAGGCATGAAGATCTCAAGACTGTAAACAGTCACTGGCAACTCTTCACCTGATTTTGCTTCAACCTCCAAGCATCTGACCTTTATTATGAATATTCATTCATACCATTGTCTCAATATTGGAATGCCCCATCATTCTTTGCCAATATCTCTGCTTACATCTTGTGTTTCCAGTGAACAGAAAGCATGAACAAGAAAATGCACATGGAAACATGAAAATGTTTCCTCATTCTTTGCACACTCTGGCATGTCTTTCCATTGTTTTGTCTACTCTTGGAGAGCATCTGAACTGTAGGAGTCTTAGGAGGCCACTAGAAATTGGCTTCAACTGCATAGTAACTAGTTAGGCTTTGCTGTGCTTCACAGTCAGCCTAGAATGTTCTTGGGGCAGAGTGGTCCCATTGAATGACCAAGGCTGAAATGGCCACATTGTTAGCAACAACTTCTTCTCTGCCAATTTGTCATTTTTTACCACTTACTGGAGTCATGACAAATGTATCTGAGTCTCCCCCACCAGAAATAGAAGCCGCAATGTGAGTCACCCAGCCAAGCCTGTGCAATAGACATTAATTTATATGTCTTAAACAGTACTTGCCACATGTCTTCAAAAAAAATCCACTATTCAGTTCTTATCTGGAAAACTACAGAAATAGAAGTTTTGTTTCCTGTTATTGCAGGGCTCGTGGAGTTGGAGAAATGCTCTTGATTTCCTTTCATAAAGTTTTCTTTCTGAAACAATCAGTACTGTAGTAAACACTGACCCAAAAAAGAGGGTTCATTTCATGAATTTCCAGTAATGCCTGTGCTCAGAGTATTGTTTTTGTCATAACAGATATGAAAGTTTAATGATTAATGTCCCAGAGATATTTCATTTGTTTCAATTGCTGATACATTCACCAAAGATTTCCCATATCCAGGGGGCTGCTATGTTACAGGGGAAGTAAGTGGGCAGAGCCACAGTTTCTGATCCCACTCACTCCAAGCTGAAATTAATCAGTTTAGAAATGACATAACTAAATTTTATTGCAATGGGAGGTTAATCCTCAGGTACGAACTTCTGACAGTCTTAAACACTGAGGAATTTTAGTCTTTCCCTGCTGTTTTTCATCTTGGTAGGGATTATGACCTCTGCGTCATTCTATGATTTCCTTGGGACTCAGTCTGAGCTTTCTCTTTTGGTCTCTTGAGTCTCTAAAAAAGTCTTATTAATCCTAATCCAAAACTCAGGCCCCAGATTATATTTTAGGCCTAATTTGCTCTTAGTGTCTCTTAGTTGACTTGGCAGGGTTTCATGGTTCTACTAGATTTCAAATCTGTTGAGGAGCTGCAAAGGCTAAACCTCCATCTTGACTGACACCATCTGGATTTCAAGCTTCCTCAGTTCCAATTATTCTTCTTCCTCTGCCCAGGCTTAATGCTGAGATTTTTTAATGAGTGCTTCAACAAAGCCCTGCCCCTCTGCATTCAGCTAATTTCCAGTTCTCCTGAGAGCCAGTCTATGTCTTTCTCCATGGTTTCACCAAAATCTTTTCTTTTACTTTTAATATTGCTTCCATGGTCACATTTGCATCCAAATGTGACTTTCTTACACTGTGGTTAATATGTGTCAGCAATGCAGCTCAAAGGACAAGAAAACATTAAAGACAACAGCCATTTTACTGGGAAAAAAATCCTACACATTTCTTCCCTTCAGTTCTCATGTTTACAATGTGGAACATTCCTTCCACTGCTAACATTCTAATTTTCATATCACAATTAGCTTGTCTTGTCCACAGGTGCTGATATTCTGAAGCCGATAAAGTCCATCTTGCTCTTGCTCATCTTACATGTCATTTCTAGAATCTTGGGCCCTGACCTTTCTTCCAGGGAGCCCCTGTCTTGATAACTGGCTCAGTAATACAATGTTTCTGGGAGTAGGGTCTTCCCTGGACCTCATGAAAACTGCCTGAACACTGCCAAGCCCACAATATGGGTCTGGGTCCTTTTCACAGCTCCACATCCCAGGCACAACACCCTGATGGCCAGGCTGGAACTCTCTCCCTCAACATCATTCCCTTTTGCAGAAGTGTACTGCCAGCTGGCTGGGACTCCTTCACATCACCTATGGCCGTCTCTGCCCACCTGACACTTGGGCTTACCCAGGGGCATGTTCAGTCTTCAGAGGCGGACTCTCTGCCTTCAGTCCGAGTGCCAACCGAGTCCTGATTTGTAAAAGTTCTGTCTTGGCTATGCTATTTACGTACAGAATGTGATATTAGCCAAATTTCTTTACCTCTTGCATCTTGGTTTTCCCTTCTATGTAAAATGTAGGCTGTGCTGAGTGCTGAAAGGTCTCCGTTAGGGATGATGATTCAGATGTGTGTAAGTTCTACCAGAATCTGTGGCCTGGAACCAAGGTCATGCCTTTATAGATAGAGGAACCTATATCTCCAGGTACAAGGGCACAGTGGCATAAAATTCTCCCACTGATGAGCCATGGCCCCACAACTTCCATCATTAATCTCTCTGGGGTAAGGCTATGGTACCCAAATACTCATCTTTAGCAAGTGCTGCTTTGGATAAAGCATTAAATGATCTCTGGCTAATTTAGGACATTTCAGTGAGTTTTCAAAACACGATGTAATTTTTTTAATTTAAGAGAGTTTCTTGTAATATGAAACTAAACCCTTTTCAAATATTTTGGTATTAAAATATCTTCTCTTTTATAATGCATTCATGGTATTAAATGGTAGTTTTGTTGTGGCTTTTTAAGGTCCTTAACTTGGCAAAATAAAATGGTTAAAAAACCCCAATTTTTTCCTTAATCTTCCCTCCTTTTTTCTTCCTCTCCTCCCTTTCCTTCCTCAGCATCTCTGAAGCCAGCACTGCTACCCTGATCCTCCTCCTCCCTTTTCTTCTTCTTCTTCCTCCTCCTCTTCCTCTTCTTCTTCCTCTTGTTCTCTTTCTCTCTCTCTCTCCCCACCCCCAGCCCTTTCTTTCTCTCTCCTGTACAAATTCCAAAGTTTGGAAGCCATAAGATTGAGGTCTGATTATTCTTAAAATGTCAGTAGTATCTTACCTTGTTACAAATAATGCTCATTTTAGTTGATATTAGTCATTGATTTCCCTGAAGGTCTTTCGGGTTTAAAGCATAGGGTAGGTCATTTTGGGAGAGAGTGAGGGGTAGAATGTTCATGCCATTGTTTAGCTGTGGGACATCAGGGTCAAATGGCTTGGGAAGTGTAAGTGCTCTCATGGACAGTGTTAGAAAGGAAAAGAAAACAGGACCACAAAAATAAGAGATAAAAACCCCAAACCCAAATATAACCGAGTCCACAGTGTCACTCAGGACCAGATCACCCAGTAAAAGTGCAGTGAAATTGCTTGAAATGGAGTGTGTTTAAAATCTAATCCCCAGCTCCACTTTCCAATTGACATTAAGATTTATGCAAGCTTCCTGTGGGATGCTCTACTTCTTGGAGCACCAAGACACTTTGGGTCTCTTTCAATTAATGCCTCATCAAGGTGTTTCCACATATGCAGAGGACATATTTTTTCTTGTGTGTCTGATAGATATTGCCTTAGAAAACAAACTCTCCCTGAATCTTCAATGATACTTTTCAGTCCAAGTGATCCCTAAGTCCCCACTAGCCTTAGGAATGAACACTTGATTCAATTCTGGCCACCCAGCTTGCTGGCCACTAAGATTGATTTAGGCATGGACATATGATTCAGACCAGCCTAATCAGAGCCCTTTCTTGGCCCTTGCCAGAGCTATTGGAAGAGATGGTCCTTCTTTCTTTGAGATCACAAGTTCGGAGATCTATGTCGGCTCAGGGTTGCTGGGGACCTGCCTGTGAATACAGGAGAATAGAGGCATACACTGCTGAAGACCGCCTTCAAATCCGAGGGTACAATCACGTGTAGACTTCCAAAACATTCTTCTTCTGTTTGCTCTTGTTATTTTGGCTTAAGCTGGATTGATTTAGGTTTCTGTCATTTGCATCCAAAAGTCTCCAGGAATCTACAGTATTTAGTATGAGAGTCTTTCCTGTGAGGGCCTTCTTGCCTTAGGACAGTTGATCTGAGGTCCCTGGGATTCCTGGAGCATTCTTGACCAGCTTGCTTCTGTCTGCATCTTCAGGATACTAACCTTCTTGAAATCCCATCAGGAAAAAAGGCTGGGGAATGAAGTGGAAAGAAACAGCTCTCTTTCCAGGGACGCTTTCCATCTTGGTTGGCATCTGGTTTAACTAGGAAGGAGGGCCTTGCTAGGCCAGTATCTCAGAGGACATGTTAAAAAAAATTGGCCCTGTGGAACCCTCATGACAAAGACTCAGAATGGACTGTTAATTTTTTCTTCTGCTTCTCTCTGGAATTATTTATATTTCACTAAGAAATGACAGCTGAGCTATTCTCTTCTAAGTGCCAAATCCTCCACTGAAATGTGCCAAGCCAGCTCACTGGACATTTCACTCAGAAGGCCAAGAAGCCATCGTGGGAGAAAAGACCCTGTTCTAACAGAATTGAAAGCTGGAGCAGTGCTTTTCCCACTGACTGTTGTCTTTCAGTAAACAGAGAGGAGGGAAGTAGACCACAGATGACTTGCCTGCTAGGGAGCTGGAAGACATTGTTGCTGCCTGCCTGAATGCATTCTGGTGGATCTTTATTGGCTGTTTCATCTTGGAAAGAGTAAGTCTTAACCACAATAAAATTTTGTCCCACATCAAGGATTTCTTGAATGCTTTATCCAAGAAAAAAAAAAAGACAACAAGGAGAGAAAGGAACAAACAAAAAACACCCTGTAGGAAAAGGTGAACCGTAGGGCCTAACAGTCTGAATATTTTGTCTCGGTGTCAACCCCCAACATATGGTAATTTTCAATGACTGCCAGACGAAATGACGAACTTGGAGGTAGAAGGAAAGTTGTTTATTCATGTTAGCAATGTGTAGAAACCTGTTTACAGAAATTTTTTAAAGAAGGGTATTGGCTGTTTCAGCCAATACTTGGGTAGGAAAGCTACCATAATCCTGAAATCTAAAGCACAAACACAAATGCACAATCAAAATTAAACTTTACAATAAAATGTATAAATATACTTCCAAAGAGACTTAGCATTCTATTCACTCATACAAGGAAACTTTTGCTTGTATCTA
The DNA here is from genome assembly GCF_000001405.40 of Homo sapiens. NCBI lineage: Eukaryota > Metazoa > Chordata > Mammalia > Primates > Hominidae > Homo > Homo sapiens. Next base: position 12,486,543 of record NC_000006.12, on the reverse strand, counting down.
AAATTATTTAGGATCTGGCCAACAATGTCACAATAAGAAGTTAGGAAGATAAAAATGAAAAAAAAAAAAGTAGAATTCTTAACAGCATGGCAAAGAGAGTGTTTTAAAATTAATATTAGGAAATGTATTATCTAAAATTTAAAAGCATAAAAGCATAATCCTTAAAATATCATACTGATTCACTCTGCTGCTAATTCCTAACATATATATATATCCATAATAGTAATGAATTAAAAGTAATAATTGTAGATCTAGATTAATTTGGACTCAGGTATATTTTTTATTGGATCTCCCAGGGCCAACTTTAACCTTCTGAATTGCATCCTAAGTAAATAGGACCAAGACTGAAATATCACACCTGAGCCTTGACAATCCAAACCTTCCTAGTAAAAGTTTGACTTTGGTATGTACATATCTTTGTTTCCCAGGGTTCAATTTCAACAGTATGGCCGATATCTTGCCAGTCTTCTTTCTTCCAGGCTAATTTTCATGAAGCTTGCTTACAATGAGAAGAGTGCTTTCTGCTGCAAGTCCTAAGAAGAGAGTGATGATGACAGGGTTGTATCTTCTCATCATCAAGCCACCACCCGGAGAGGGGAAAATAGTGAATCCAGACATTGTGCTTCCCTCCTCAGAATTCTCCTTGCATTGCATTTTTAAAAAATCTGGGAATCAGTAACCATTCCTCTCCCCAACATCCGTCCTCTTTAAACAACAACTGTGATTCAAGCTAACAATCTGTAAAGATGAAAATTGGAGGTTATTGAGGATTGATCCTAAAAAATATTTTTTTCTTTCAACTCTCAGAGGAGAGCTGTATGTTGTCTCCCTGCTTGTTTAACTGCTTTCTCCCTTTTGCCACGGAATTTGCAATATCTGTATGAAATATAGATTTTTTTCAATTATAAATATCGTTATGCATCTGAATCTTCAAACGTTGCTGCCCTTGACTGACTCACACACACCAGTGTTCTGCCTCTGGCTATGAAAGCTCTTCTACTTACGCCAAAGCCAAGAATGCAAGTAGAGAAATAGGAAAGAAGAATCCAGAAGCCTCATGTTACCCCCAAGATTGCTGACAGATTTTTGTTTGTTCGTTTGGTATGTATATGCAGATGTAGTTGTCTTTAACTTTATCATTGATTTCCATCGTTATTACAGTGTTGGGTGAGAGAACCTGTTTATGTTACCTGCGACATTATGAGAAATGCAGATGTAGGAAAATAAACGTATTTGGCTTAGTTTCACAAAGCAAATTTACCATGGCACATGCCTCAGCTAAACCTGTTTTCAGACTCTTCAAGTTCTTTTTTTCTGTCTTCTTTTTTTCTGTCTGTTCATCAAGAACAGACTCATGTGCCCCTTTCGGCCCGGGATTTGTAGTAGAATTCGATGAGGAAAGAAAGTTGATATAATTATGCATCGTTATCAAAATTATAGTCAATAAAACCTTTCAAGTAAGTGGGTAGTTAATTGAGATCTAGAAGGCATTTGGGCTTTCTGGCTTCACTGGCCAGCTTGCAGTCACCTGAGTGCACAGAAAACTGCTTGTTTTCTGGAATATTTTCATGGTTGTGAAAATTGATAATGTATCACTGTTAGGTCTGATTTTGTTTCCTGTCCAAAGAGGAAAGGTCATCCTCCTCCTTATTAAATTTTGAAAAATAAATAACCACAGCAGTATCTCAACAGACTCAATGTGTTTATTTTACACTACAAGAATGTGAAATAATTGGACAGTATGTCACAGGGGGAAGAAAACTAGGAGAGCAGCTTGCCGGGTTTAATAAATTAACTTTGGCTCTATTTGCTGAAAAGATGATTATTGACAGTTGCGTATCTTGTTTATGAGCACACACCTTAAACTTGATCAGGAGGAAAGAGAAAATACTCAAAATTCTTGCTGATGAAAGAGCTTTTCCCGGCTTAGGGCAATTGCTTCAAAGAAAAAGTACAAAGGTTTGAACTTCCCACCCATGTGTTATTGGACAGGGAAAAAGGAAACATTTCATAGAGATAAGCTACCGTTTTGAATATTGAAGGAATTTAAAAGCAAAAATATCAGTATTGACACAATTACAGATACCGGTCTTCTTTAGAAAACATGCACCACTTTTTTTCTTTGTGGCTTAAAGAAAAAATTAACTTCGTGAATACCAGTCATCTACATGCATTAAATATAAGACAGGAAAACTTCTCTCTGCTCTTATCGCAAGTTAAGAATATTTTCTTTTAAATGCGACTTACCTTTTAAGATGAGTGAGGCTGAGTAAGTAAGGAAATGTTAAGAGGTGACTTTAA